>NC_000009.12:107462976-107614491 GCF_000001405.40 Homo sapiens | reverse complement strand
TACGACATGCCATGCTCTTTTGCAGGCATTTTCATTTTACCTTTCCCTTACAAGGTAGACCCTGTTAGGCCCATTTTACAGATGAAGAAACTGAGGCCCAGGGAGATGTGAAGTGTTCAAGTGAACTTAGCTGGACAATAGCAGTTCCAGTTTTCTAATCTGTGTCTGGCTTCCTATCCAATGGCCTCCCTACTCCCCAGGAGCTACCAGACACTCAGTTCAATGATCTGTAATTTTTCAGTCCTTCTCCAAGTTTTCAGTGTCCTGGGCCCAGCTTAAAGGGCAAACGGGATGAAGAACGAGGTGCCAAGCAACAGAATATGCTTGCTAGCAGGTGATTTGGGGTTTCCTTCTGCATAGTCATGGGGCAGGAACACCCAGTCTTTGCCCATGGTAGCAGTGGCCAGGGCTCCTAGAAGTCATCCCAAAGCAGAAGACAGCACATGAGTAGTCCCCATCAATTCCTGAAATACCTTTAAGTCCCAAAGTTCACTAGTTGTCAATGACAGAGTCTCACATCTAGGAAACACCCATCACATAGCCAGCTTAGGCAAAATGAATGCCTTTCAAAGGCTATAGTACTAGCAGAGAAAAAAAACAAAAAAACTGAGCAAATGTGGCTTGGGTCTGTAGCCAAAATCCAATGTTAAATAACAGGCTGGGGGTGGGGAAAGAAAAGAAATAATTCATCAGTAGAATGATACAGGCAGTCCATGGGTATCACCAGAACTGCATTTTCTCACCATATAGAGTGGTTGTGTAATTTCCCCCATTTCTCTGTCAATAAGGGGCTAGTGCTATCGGTGAAATAATTTACAACCCAATGTGCTCCACTGTAAATGGGTGCTATGTTTACTGGCTGTAAAAACACCTCTGAACACACTGACCTTCAACAGGTGAGCCCTTGAGTTTATAGCACTGAAGAATTGTTTTACTGCCTCAGCACAGGCAACAGGCATGCTGGACACCTGTTGGGGGTGAAGGGTAGGGAATCAAGCCCTCTGGGGATTCAGGGAAAGGAATCCTAAGAACAAGCTGCCCCCAGTGTGAGCCAACCAGATCAAACAAACCTCCAGGTGTCTGGTCAGTGCTGGGTCCATGGTAAGCATCTGAGTCTTGGATGAACCCACTAAGCAAGTCCAGGCTAGAGACTGAGGCCTGCAGAGCACTTCCGGAATTGGAGAACCCTATGGAAGGCCAGTAGGATGGAGTCCAAGGCAGATCCTGAGGGAACTCCAAGCACTGAGCTGGGGGAACCTAAATAAATTGGTCAATATGAGGGGCAGGAGCAAGAGAAAGACCGAAGATAGGAATTACAGCCAAAGGCCCAATGTTGAACGAGTCTAGAACCCAGGCAAAGCAAGTTTTCTGCAAATAATTCATGAACCAAAGAAGCAGAGCCTCTGCCTTTAATGACGGCCACCAAAAGGTACGTGGGTGAATAGAGCAGACAGAAAAGGATAGGACTGGGGTGAACAAAAATGTTATTCTGGCCAGGAGCAGTGGCTCGCGCCTGTAATCCCAGCACTCTGGGAGGCCGAGGTGGGCGGATCGCCTCAGGTCAGGAGTTCGAGACCAGCCTGGCCAATATGGCAAAACCCCATCTCTACTAAAGCTACAAAAATTAGCCAGGGGTGGTGGTGCATGGCTATAATCCCAGCTACTCCTGAGGCAGGAGAATCGTTTGAACCTGGGAGGCAGAGGTTGCAGTGAGCCGAGATCATACCACTGCACTTCAGCCTGGGCAACTGAGCGAGACTCTGTCTTAAAAAAAAAAAAAAAAAAAAAAAAAAGGTTATTTCTTTCTCACCCTTCAGCTTGCTCTGGAAAGGTTTTTGTTTTTCCCATCCACGCCTTAGTATGGAGGTTTCAGAGAGGCCCCCATGGGGAGCACACTTCCCCAAAAGCCAATTACCAAAATGGCCAGAAGGATAAATGTGCCAGCCTCAGCCCAGCATATATTCTTTGAGTCTTCACCAGAAAGCTAAAGTGGCATTTGACAAAACCTCTGGAGTGTTTCAAACTATGTTATCAGGCCCAAATCCTGATGACAGACAGAAGAGTATAAAAGAATAAAGATTTCCCAGATGAAAAGCACGCTTGGAGGGTCCTGAGCCCTTGCAGGCAGTGACGAAATCAAGGGCTGCATGCAGTTTGTTCACATGAAGAGCCCTGGAAGAAGGCTTCACACTCAGCAAGCGCCCTGGCCAAATGAGGAAGAGCCAAGCAGGCTGGCCTGAGGTTGCTCCATACCCTGGGCCTCTGGGGAGAAATCAGAGGAAGCAAACCGTTGTGTCCACACCAAATGAGAAACCTAGTGATTTTCATTCCCGGTGTTTTTAATTTTGTGCCTTTGAAGATCATCTTAATTTTTTAATTAAAAAAAATTACAGTTGATGACCTGCCAGTTCTTCACACACACAATTATCATTGAAAGCCAAGGGTCCCCACCTTTTTGCAAATAAACAGGCAGAATAATCTGTGAGAAGACCTCACGGCCAGGCAAGGTGGCTCATGCCTGTAATCCCAGCACTTTGGGAGGCCAAGGCAGGCAGACCACATAAGGCCAGGAGTTTGAGACCAGCCTGACCAACATGGCAAAACCCTGTCTCTACTAAAAATACAAAAATTAGCCATATGTGATAGCTCATGCCCGTAATCCCAGCACTTTTGGAGGCCAAGGTGGATGGATCACTTGAGGCCAGGAGCTTGAGACGAGCCTGGGCAACATGGTAAGACCCTATCTCTACTAAAAATACAAAAATTAGCAGGACATGGCGGCACACGCCTGCCACCCCAGCTACTCCGGAGGCTGAGGTATGAGAATCGCTTGAACCCAGGAGGTGGAGGTTAGCCAAGATCATGTCACTGCACTCCAGCCTAGACAACAGAGTGAGACTCTGTCCCCCCTGAAAAAAAAAAAAAAAGCCAACAGGTTGCTGGGGTTGGGGAGGGGTCCTTCATTCCTGTCTCTGCTCTCCCTACTGCACACATGTACAGGTGCAAACACACACTCACACGCACACACAAATACACCCCTACAACTCCCCAAACAAGACTTGTTCACCACCATAACCCAGCACCTAGCACTGGGGCAGGGATAGTGCAGCCACTCAGTGAATATTTGGCAAATAAACTGATTAATATATAAGGATATAAGAGAGCTAGAAACCAGACATGCAAGGAAGGGAGAGGAGAAAGAGTGACAAAGTGGGGGTGGCTTGGGATCCCACCCCCAGACGGTTCATCCATCTATTGGCAATAACAAGCCCTAGCATAACACCCTTCAGATTATAAAATCCAGACGCATCTCACATCACTTTTGATTCCCACCACTCCCCCTACTCCCAGGAGGTAAGGATCTTTGTGCTAATGCTAGGAAAAAAACTGAAGCAGAGGAAAGGTCTACTGGTTTGTTCAAGGTAGGAAAGAAAACAAAGCTAGGAACTAAAACTTCTGAAGTCAAAGCTTGGGCTCTGGGCCATGCACAGTGGTTCACGTCTATAATTCCAGCACTTTGGGAGGCCGAAGTGGGCAGATCGCCTGAGGCCAGGAGTTCAAGACCAGCCTGGGCAACATGGTGAAACCCCATCTGTACTAAAATTACAAAAAATTAGCTACTTGGGATGCTGAGGCAGGAGAATCTCTTGAATCTGGAAGTGCCTGTTGCAGTGAGCAGAGATCGTGCCACTGTACTCCAGCCTGGGCGACAGAGCAAGACTCCATCTGTGATGGTTAACGCTGAGTGTCAATTTGATTGAATTGAAGGATGCGAAGTATTGGTCCTGGGTGTGTCTGTGAGGGTGTTGCCAAAAGAGATTAACATTTGAGTCAGTGGGCTGGGGAAGGCAGACCCACCCTTAATCTGATGGGTATAATCTAATCAGCTGCCAGTAAATCTAAAGGAGGCAGAAAAACATGAAAACGTGAGACTGACTAGCCTCCTAGCCTACATCTTTCTCCCTTGCTGAACGCTTCCTGCCCTCAAACATCAGACTCCAATTTCTTCAGTTTTGAGACTCGGACTACACTCCGTGCTCCTCAAGTTTGCAGACAACCTATTGTGGGACCTTGTGATCATGTAAGTTAATGCTTAATTTATCTATCTATCTATCTATCTATCTATCTATCTATCTATCTATCCCCCTAGGAAACCCTGACTAATACACTGTCTCAACAACAACAAGAACAAAGCTTAAGCTCTGGTGGCTCCTGGTCTCTGAGTTTGGGACCCTGGTCTAAACCTATATTATTTAAGCAAGTGACTTCATCACAACCCAGGAAGACTGAAGACACTAATGTCCATCTATTCATTCCGTTACTTTATACAGATTTACTCTACACATAGCACCTGTTATGTTCCAGGTGTCTGAGGAGCTAGAGAAACCACAAGGAACAGGACAGGCACAGTTCCTATCCTCTCCAAGCTTACATACTGGTGAGAGAAACAGAGACCAAAGGGGCAAACAAAGAGACAGACAAGGTGATGGAATAGCAATTAATTGGGGATCATGAGCAGTGGTGTATGCCTGTAGTCCCAGCTACTCGGGAGGATGAGGTGGGAGGATCATTTGAGCCCAGGAGTTCAAGACCAGCCTGGCCAATAAAAAGATCCTGTTTCTTAGAAAGAAAGAAATTAATTGAAGTAGTCCCACCTGAATGGACAGCCAGGGAAAGACAGCCAAGGAAGCTTCTGAGAAAAAGTCATTTGAGCTAAGAGCTGAAGGGTCATTCCAAGAGCGATCCAAGCAGAGAGAAGGAACATGTGCCAAGTGTTGGAGACAGATGGGAGTTCAGGGCTTCCAGGATGAGAAAGGAAGCCAGTGTGGCTACAGTGTAATGAGTGAGAGAGGAGAATCTCTCTGTAGATACAGAGGTAAATGTAAGTGGAGATGAAGACAGAGGTGGAGATGATGATGGAGATCATCTTGCATTTGCCTGCCCAGCATTCCACGTCTTCTTCTTGCAGTAGAATGCTATTTTCTTTTCATCCTATGAGATTTGGATGGTATTGACTTCCCTCTGCAGTACCAGAAATCCATGCTTGGCTAATTGATTACTGCCTCCCCCCGCCTCTCCATCATCCCAACCAATTCACGAACCCACTCCCAGCATGTCGCTCAACCAGGCCAATAAACAAGACTTCAGCCAGACCTGTTGGTAAAGACGCAAACTGAACTGCTAGTGCCCATCTTACCACAACAGGGGGACAGCATGCATAAGAGTAACTCCCAGAGGCAAGCAGAGCTGAGAAAGTCCTGAGCTATAGTTTGACCCTTTGGACCCAGATGTATCCAGACTTTTCAGCTATGTAAGCCATTAAATGCTATTTTTTTTAAATATTTTGAGACAGGGTTACTATGGGGTTTCTCAAACTTGCAGCTCATGCATGATGCACGCTTACACAGTTATGCTGGCTGCTGAGTGGCAAATTGATTGAAGAAGGACAAAAGTGAAAACAGAGAAACGCATCAGGAGGCCACACAGGAGTCAGGAGAGAAGAATTAAATAATTTCACTAAACAGAATCCAGATTTTTGGAGCAAGTGATTACACTGAAACGTGTGGCTGTCTGTATACTGTACACTGCTCACAGATCAAGCCCACTCCATATGTTCAGGTGCCCATTTTGCACGTGAGCACTCTCTCTCGGCGGATCACTCTGAATGGCCAGTTCATTCTCATTCTCTGGGTCTCAGCTCAAATGACCCTTTCTCAGAGTGGCTGCCAGGAAAGCTATCCAAGTGGACTCTCCCATTATTTTCTATCCCATCACTTTGTTTATCTTTTCACAGCACTATCACAATGCATAATTATTTTGATTTTGTTTTTGTTTTTGTGTATATTTTTGTTTTTGTTTTGAGACAGGGTCTCGCTCTGTTGTCTAGGCTGGAGTGCAGTATCATGAACATGGTTCACTGCAGCCTCGACTTCATGGGCTCAAGCAGTCCTCCCACCTCAGCCTCCCAAGTAGGTGGGACCACAGATATTCACCACCATGCCCAGCTAATTTTTTAATCTTCTGTAGAGACAGGATCTCACTATGTTGCCCAGGCTGGTCTTGAACTCCTGGGCTTAAGTGATCCTCTTGCCTCAGCCTCCCAAAGTGCTGGGATTACAGGTGTAAGCAACTGCACCAGGCCCATAATTATTTTGTTTGTTTATTTGCTTATCCCTTTGGTCTCTGTCTCCCCCAGAGCAATGAAAGCTTGAGGAGAACTGGGGTCATGTTTGTCCCATTCATAGCTGTGCCTCCAGCTACTGAGCATAGCCTGGAGCAAACAGGTGCTCAACAAATACATGTTGACTACATTTTAATTTAATAACTCCTCTCCTGACAATTTACTCCGAGAAGTCAACTCAGAAGAAATTTTCAAAACACCATAGACATAGATAGTCGCCATAATCTAAAATGTTCAAAAAATAGCCGTCTTTAAGTGAGTGAATAATGGCATATCCACAAGGTAGCTACTACAGCCAGAGAAAATTATAAAGTATTAGAAAAATGTCCCAATATAGGCCAGGTGTGGTGGCTCATGCCTGTAATCCCAGCACTTTGGGAGGCCTAGGCGGGTGGATCACAAGGTCAGGAGTTCAAGACCAGCCTGGTCAACATAGTGAAACCCCTTCTCTACTAAAAATACAAAAAATTAGCTGGGCATGGTGGTGGGTGCCTGTAATTCCAGCTACTCAGGAGGCCGAGGCAGGAGAATCACTTGAACTCAGGAGGCAGATGTTGCGGTGAGCCAAGATTGCACCATTGCACTCCAACCTGGGCAACAAAAGTGAAACTCCGTCTCAAAAAAAAAAGAAAGAAAAAGAAAAGAAAAGGAAAAACATGGCAATATAGAATAGAAAATAATGTTAAGTGATAAAGGAAGGATATAACATCATACAGATTGTACCTATATTTAAAAATGAACATATACCTGTAATCAAAATCTAAACACATGTGGATCACTACAGGAAGGGAGGGTGTAAAAACAAACAGGTGATGTGGAAGTCATATAGATCCAGGGTTATTTTACTTGTGCTTTTTATTTCCTTACAAGTTGATTTTACAATAAACAGGCAATGTGGAGTTATGCAAAATGACCAGATTCAGAATGAAAAGCTGCAGAATGTTTGGGCTGTAGGAATCATGCCAACCTCCTAGAGCTGTTGTAAAGTTACAATGGGATCTTGGATTCAGAGGTACACAGCTCAGAACTAGGATAAATGTTTGATGCATAAATTTAATAATCATAATGACAATTACAATAAAAACATAATGCTAATCATCATTACATTATAAGGAGTATTATAACGAGATCAGGAGTTCGAGACCAGCCTGGCCAACATGGCAAAACCCTGTGACTGCAAAAATTAGCCAAGGGCAGTGGCGTGTGCCTGTAGTCCCAGCTACTTGGGAAGCTGAGGCAAAGAATCGCTTGAACCCAGGAGGCAGAGGTTGCAGTGAGCTGAGATAGCACCAATGCACTCCAGCCTGGGCGTCAGAGAGAGACTGTCTCAAAAAAATATCGGGGGGACCCAGAGAACTCTCTCCCACCCTCTCTTCGCCATGTGAGAGGCTACAACAGAAAGTTGGTAGTCTGCAACCTGGAAGAGGAACCGTGGCAGAACCTGACCATGCTGGCAGCCTGACCTTGGATTTTCAGTCCCCAAAGTGTGAGAAATCAATCTCTGTTTTCTAAGCCACCCAGTCCATAGTAATTTGCTAATAGCAGCCTGAACTAAGACAGACACTCAGCTCCAGTCACACTGAACTAACTGTTCCCCAAGTCGTCATGACCTCTCATGGCTGGTGAGAAGCCCCATCTCTGTGCTCTCTTAGCCCCTGTGTGTCTTATTTATAGGGACACTTAGATACTGAGTTTTCTGGGCTGTCAATCTGTCAGTCTCTCCCCCTAGTTCATGAGTCTCGCGAGGACTAGTGTCTGATTCATTTCAATGTCCCTTGTACCTATCGCTGAATCTAGTTCAATAAACCTGGGTTTAATTGAATGGAAATATAATAAACTGTTTATGATGTGGTAGAAGCAATACAAGTAAAAGCTACAAAGAAGAGAAGGAGCAATTATCAAGGGTAGAGCCTGGACTCTACACTTACCAAGAATCCTCACTCCATGCAATCAACCCCAGCTCTGAACACCAGGGAGGAGTTCAGCTCCTGCCTTCCGCCCCCGTGGGGGCCCTCGTGATGAATACATACACTTCATACCATCTCACAACCTACCTGGGTTTCCTCATCTGAGCTTGAAGAAAAGAAAAATGAACACTTTGCCAAAACCGCCATCCTCCATCCACCAAAAGCCCTTCTCTCTTGTGCCTGGTTCAATTATTCTTTTCTGAGGGGCAACATGCAGGATGAGAAAAAAGGGCCAGGTCCTAAGTGGGGCTCTCCTCTAAGAAGCAAAAGCACGAGTTTCAGAGAGATGAAAAAGAAGACTGGGCCGGGTGCAGTGGCTCACGCCTGTAATCCTAGGACTTTGGAAGGCTGAGGTGGGCAGATCACCTGAGGTCAAGAGTTCAAGACCAGCCTGACCAACATGGTGAAACCCTGTCTCTACTAAAAAAAAATAAAAATAAAAAATTAGCCAGGCATGGTAGTGCATACCTATAATCCCAACTACTTGGGAGGCTGAGGCAGGAGAATCGCCTGAACCCGGGAGGCGGAGGTTGCAGTGAGTTGAGATCGTGCCATTGCACTCCAGCTGGGCAACAACAGCAAAACTCCATCTCAAAAAAAAAAAAAAAAAAAAAGAAGAAGACCCATGTTCTGGGACTTACTGCTATCACAGAGATGCTAGTCATTCGTTTGTTGTATAAAAAACAGACTTATGCCGGGCATGGTGGCTCACGCCTGTAATTCCAGCACTTTGGGAGGCCGAGGTGGGTGGATCACCTGAGGTCGGAAGCTCAAGACCAGCCTGACCAACATGGAGAAACCCCGTCTCTACTAAAAATACATAATTAGCTGGGCGTGTTGGTGCATGCCTGTAATCCCAGCTACTCGGGAGGCTGAGGCAGGAGAATCGGTTGAACCTGGGAGGCGGATGTTGTGGTGATCCAAGATCGCGCCATTACACTCCAGCCTGGGTGACAAAAGCAAAACTCCATCTCAAAAAAAAATTAATTAATTAATTAATTAAAAAAAAAACAGACTTATTCCCCCATGTCACATGTTCATTTCCCTGAAGACATCACAAGCTCAAAGCCTCCCCGGCTCAAAGTGTTCAGTGCTTGATATGCTATCCCTGTCCACCTGCAAAGGCACTGTCCTGAAGATTAGATGTATTTGTTCTCTTCTACAATGCTTTAGATAAGATAAGGACACAAGAGCCAGTGAATACACATCAGGACCTGCACAGAAGTATAGAGAAGTATCACCACTGTCACTAGGGTGGATCATAAAGCTGAAAAAAATGCCCATTTGAAAACCAATAACCCATGATCTGAGACCCAGATATTTAATATGTGGTTACTTTCTGCCTCCAATGTAAATATTTATTGTGTTTTAGCATGTAAAGAAAAGCTATGGCTATTACACTTCCCAACGTGATGTTCTTGCTGACCAACATGATGGACACATTTATTGAAACCAGCGCCACACAAACCTGGGTTTTCTAATGACAACAGAAACAAGTCTCTCCTTCCCTGGCACATCTCAGATGGATTAAAAATCTTGAAGTGGGCCGGGCACGGTGGCTCATGCCTGTAATTCCAGCACTTTGGGAGGCCAAAGCAGGTGGATCACCTGAGGTCAGGAGTTCGAGACCAGCCTGCCCAACATGATGAAACCCCATCTCTACTAAAGATACAAAAAATTAGCTGGGCGTGGTGGCAGGTGCCTGTAATCCCAGTTACTTGGGAGGCTGAGGCAGGAGAATCGCTTGAACCCGGGAGGCAGAGGTTGCAATAAGCCGCAATTGCGCCACTGCACTCCAGCCTAAGCAACAGAGTGAGACTCTGTCTAAAAAAAAAAAAAAAAAAAAAAAAATCTTGAAGGGACACATAAATGGTTTCCAAGATATTGAGAATCCTGTAAGAGAGTTTAGCAGGCAGAGCCACCAAAGTGTTTGTCAATTAGATCATGATGTTCCCAAGGCAAGACCGCTTCTCCAATGCATTCCCAGTGCCAGGCACAGTGGTTGACACATGAGAAGCACTCAACAGGTTCAAACAAACAAATGAATGAAGGGCAGAATGGACTGGATTATTTCAAACATGATCTCTCAGATTCACTGTGAAAACTTAGAGCAAAATTTAGAAAGCATATGCTTTTGTGTCCCTAACCCCAGTGTTACCCCTGAACCCACTGGCCAAACACTCACAGTTGGAACATATATCAATTAAGGTGTTTTCAAGAGCAAAGAATAAGCCACTCAACTTAAAGCGACTTAAAGAATTAGGAAATTTAGGCCAGGCATGGTGGCTCACACTTGCAATCCCACCACTTCGGGAGGCTGAGGTGGGGAATCACTAAAGTATAGAAGTTTGAGACAGCCTGAGCAACATTGCAAGACCCCAGCTCTAAACACACACACACACACACAAAGTGTTTTTATTTTTTTAATTAGCTGGGTGTGGTGACGTGTGCCTGTAGTCCCAGCAACTCAGGAAGCTAAGGAGGGAGGATCACTTGAGCCTAGGAGTTTGAGGCTGCAGTGAGCTATGATTGCACCACTGCACTCTAGCCTGGGTGACAGAGTAAGATCCTGTCTCAAAAAAGAAGAAAGAAGAAAGAAGAAGAATTATTAGGAAATGTATTACCTCAAATAGAACAACTACAGGGATTTCAGGTGAGTTACAGAAGAGGCACACACACACTCACACACACACACACACACACACCCCTACACATCCTTACCCATTATAGTAAGTCCCCGTTTTAATTATTCAAAGGTAGAGAATATTATTGAATTCAGAATAACACGTCAGTCAGTCAGGTGCAGATCACAGCACACATCTTAGTGAGGCTTCTAATGAGATTCAAAGGGCTATGTCACTGCTCTTTTTTACTCGTTGCTCATGTCACTAGAATAGAATTTACTCTAACATCTATGGCTTCTATTCAAGGGAATGTTTAAACACAACATGAATGAGTCCATTTCCTCAACTGCAGAAAGAAAGCAGAGTCCATGCCCAGGAATTCTCAAACATCACTCTGCCTTCAGCATTGCACAGTACCGGCAAAGCCATTTCCTCACATTTTATTTGAGGATTTTGATACGGAGTGCTAGCACAATGATTACAAGTTCATTTTGTCCAATTTATACACCATAAAGGCCAGAGGTGGAGTGACTTCAGAGCTGATTCAATAACTTCATCTAGGATCCATGTTTTTTCCATGTCTCAACATATCAACTTTGTTCTTAGACTGGCTCCCCTCATGGTCCCAAGAGGGCTGCCACAGTTCTAGACCTCACATCTGGATTGAAAAACATCCAGAGGCAGAAAAAGCCTGAATCTTCTAGTGGTAAGAGTAGAAGAAACCTTTTCCAGGTGCCTCCCATCAGCTCCCTGCTTTAATTTTTTTTTTTTTTTGAAATGGAGTTTTAGCTTGTCACCAGCCTGGAGTGCGGTGGCACAATCTCAGCTCACTGCAATCTCCACCTCCTGGGTTCAAGTGATTCTCCTGCCTCAGCCTCCTGAGTAACTGGGATTACAGGCGCATGCCACCATACCCAGCTAATTTTCGTATTTTTAGTAGAGACAGGGTTTCGCCATGTTGGTCAGGCTGGTCTCGAACTCCTGACCTCGTGATCTGCCCACCTGGGCCTCCCAAAGTGCTAGGATTACAGGTGTGAGCCACCGCACCCGGGCTTTTTTTTTTGTTTTTAATCAGCCAGGTGTGGTGCCGTGTGCCTGTAGTCCCAGCGACTCAGGAGGCTGAGGAAGGAGGATCACTTGAGCCTAGGAGTTTGACTTTAAGTCTCAGGCCGTACTGAGAGACACACCCACCCCAAAATTCATTACTGATAAGGGAACATGGGATTGCAGTTACTGGTTAAACTAATCAAGATTCACCCCTGAGCTGGAGACAGAGACACCTTCCATGACTAAACCAGGGCTCTGTCAGCTGGGAAGAATGCCCTAAGCAAAGGACAGGCACCGAACAGCATCTGTGCCCAATAGCCCGAGCCCCATCAGCAGGGACCTTTTGGGACTCTGTGGCTGTGTGGGCTCCAGGGGTCCCTTGAGGTAGAGACACTATTAAAGAGAAGGGATTCAGCACTTAGCTCACCCATAGTGTTTGATTCTGGCTCCTCTTGGGGCAACAGCAAAGTATGGGGGCTATGCTGACATCACGATCTATGATGCTGCCGCCACCATGGTTTATTAGCCTGCCTGTGCCACTTCCTGAGCCTCCAAATCACACAGAATGTAAGACAGACAAAAATGTCATCAGAGTACAAGAGCAAAGCAAGCTGCTTTACTGGGTACCTACTAGACACAAGACATGGTTTTTCACATTAAATCATTTAATTCTCACAATAGCCACCAGCTAGGTATTATCAGCACTCTGTTAATAGAAAAGAGGGCAGTGGCTCAAGCCTGTGATCCCAGCACTTTGGGAGGCCTAGGTGGGTTGATCACTTGAGCTCAGGAGTTGGAGACCAGCCTGAGCAACAAAGTGAAACCCCATCTCTAAAAAAATTTTTAAATTACCCAGGTGTGGCGGTACACATCTGTAGTCCCAGCTACTCAGGAGGCTGAGGTAGGAGGATGGCTTGAGCCCAGGAGGTGGAGGTTGCAGTGAGCCAAGTTATCATGACTGCACTCCAGCCTGGGTGATAGAGCCAGACCCTGTCTCAAAAAAATAAATTAATTAAGTTAAATTAAATTAATGCAGAAGTTGAGGGACAATCAAACAATTTGTCCAACATCTCATCACTAGAAAGTATCAGAGCCCAAATTCTAGCTCCAACCCTGACTCTAAAACCTGCAGCCTTTGTATGCGGACATACTGTGTTCCAGTGCAGAATAGAATGCCAAGTCACAAGCAAAGAGAAAAGGACATACCAGAAAACATTGTCAGCCCAAGAATATAACCAGAGAAGACAAAGAAAGAGTTACAAACATTCAGGAAACATGAGATCGGCATTACATTATGATCCCATAAACACGGTTCACATATGCAAGTTACATATAAAGCACACCCTCAGTCCCAAAGCCCTACCCCATAAGTTGCCTTGATTGGATTTCGTAAGACTACTAAGGCAGTGTCGCTCGAATCTGGTCCATGGACTGATGCTAGTCTGCGAACTACGCGTTTCCAGTTCACAATAATAAACACAGAATTGAAAGCAACATGTTAGAAACCTCTCTAGTGTTTTAACAGTGCAATAACATTCAAGCATGTGACTAGCAGACTTGTCTTCTGGAATGGGGTCTAGACTAGTTTGGGTGCTGTTGAACTCAGGTTGCATATGGCCCAAGCTGCATGCTTGTACTGGTTCATCACGGATTGAAAAATAAAAAATTAAAATAAATAGGCCGGGTGTGGTGGCTCAAGCTTGTAATCCCAGCACTTTGGGAGACCCAGGCAGGTGGATCACTTTAGGTCAGCAGTTCAAGACGAGCCTGGTCAACATGGTGAAACCCCGTCTCTACTAAAAATACAAAAATTAGCTAGGTGTGGTGGCGTGCACCTATAGTCCCAGCTACTCGGGAGGCTGAGGGAGGAGAATCACTTGAACCTGGGAGGTGGAGGTTGCAGTGAGCCAAGATCACATCACTGTACTCCAGCCTGGGTGACAGAGCAAGACCCTGTCTCAAAAAAAAAAAAAAAAAAAAAAAAAAAAAAAGATAAATAAATGAATTAAAAAAAAAAAATCCCTGGTGGTTCCCCAGAGAAAGTTGGAAAAGCACCACCCTAGAATTCAGCTGGGTAAATATAATTACCCTCATTTACAAGTAAAGAAAATGAGATTCAAGGAGACTGAGTCACTTTTCCAAGGTCAACACCCCTGGGAAGAGGCAGGACAGGAAAACACTCTAGTTCAATGACAAATGAGAACTATGAAATCTCCCAGCTCCTGATAACAGAAAGTGCTGGCAAGAGGGGCCTGTAAAAAGGTGGAGGCTTGTTTAAAAAAAAAAAAAAAAAAAGCATTTCCCTCAGCTTTGCCATTGCCAAAAGTTCAGCCAAGATAAAATGCCTCTGATGAGAACTACCTATAAAGTGAGGCCAGGAATAAAAGGGAAATGGATGGGCTCATTCCTGGCAAAGCCCTGTCTTGTGCATCCTGATTTACTAGTGTTACTTGTAGAACTGACTTGTTGTTACTACAATTTCACCATAAATTACGAAGACGAAGGTGTCTTCTCAAAGCCCTTCCAGTCTGGCTCCAGATTTTACCAGCCCCATCACTGACTCTAGGCCCAGCCAAACTGAACCTCCCACCCTCTCAGAGCTAACGTTGGTTATTTTAGAATGTTCCACTATCACCTCTCTCTTCTTCTTACTCAACTAGAAAAGCCCTGCTCTCCATGAAAACATTTTTGGAATATTGTTATAGCTAAGACCCTGGGTTTCAAGAACCAAGGCTCATTTAAGCTCATTTTTAAAGGACGGGGAATGTATGTGGGGCTGTTCAGTGGTCTCATGCAGACATTCCAGGACAGGAAGGGCCACAGTGGGGACTGAGAAACATTGTCACCCCCGGCAGCTCCTAATGTTTTTTCTGTTTCTGAAGTCACTGGACTCTCTAGCCCTCGCTACATCTCTGCTTTCTCCCTAGGCGTCTCCTGTTTCCTTGTTGCTTTAGTGTCCCTACACCTTCACTGGTAGACAATCATTGTGGCTTCCCAATTCTACCTTGCATATTTGCAAATGCAGCACCAGCACCAACTAGATCCATCCCTCTCTTCCCAAGTCTAACTTCCCGAAGAAGGAATCTGATTGGCTGAGCTCAACTTTTCAAGTCAGGCCACTAATCAATGATCTCCAGCCTATCTAAGAATTAGCTTACTTGGGGCCTGAGGTCAATCTCTGGTCTCAACAGCTATTGTCAGGAAAGGCCAGGTATGTGACATGGAGAATGTCTGCTTAAATGCAGGAGACTGGAAGCAGGTGGGTCTAGACCACTGATATGGTCTTTAAAGGAATTAAAGAGAAATTAATAAACTCCTATTTTTGCTTCAGTTCCCAACTCTCGTGACACTTTCTCTAGGAGGTCTTCCATGATTTCTTCAGGTTAGTTTTTGTTTTTGTTTTCTTTTTTTGAGACAGAGTCTTGCTCTGTCACCCAGGCTGGAGTACAGTGGCACAATCTTGGCTCACTGCAACCTCTGCCTCCCGGGTTCCAGCAATTCTCCTGCCTCAGCCTTCCAAGTAGCTGGAACTACAGACAGGCACCACCATGGCCAGCTAATTTTTTTGTATTTTTAGTAGAGATGGGGTTTCGCCATGTTGGCCAGGCTGGTCTCAAACTCCTGACCTCAAGTGATCCACCTGCCTCGGCCTCCTAAAGTGCTGGTATCACAGATGTGAGCCACTGTGCCTGGCCTATCTTCAGGTTGATTTTTGTTCCTTATGTTCTTGCAACACAGTGTAAGTCCCTCTCTAGGAGCTCTCATCATGTTAATTAGAAACTGCTTGCTTGCATCTCTTCTTTCCCCACTAGATTATGAGGGCTTTGAAGATCTGGACCACACCACGACCACCTTTGAATCCACAGCATGGAGCTTGGTGTTGAACATAGAAGGAGAACAGGAAATGAGCATGGAATGAATGACTGAATTTACAACCGGATAAGTCAGCACCTGAATAAAAGGCTGACGAGTGAATTATGCTGAAACAAATGTAGGTCCCTCTGCATCCACTCCAGATCAACTAAGGAGAATGACAGGGGTAGAGTGGGTGGGAGGGAAGGGGCAATGGAAAGGTAGGAAGATTCTTTACAAGAACAAGTAAAGTGAAAGAAAAATCACCCCAAAAGGAAGAGACAAAGAAGTAGTTGAACTTCTTTGTGGCAGCATCTTTTACTTCCAGATGTTTCTTTAGGTATTTCTGCATTCCTTGGTCTAGCAGGGGAATGAAAGATTAAAGCTTGGATTCATCTTCCACAACTGTAAAATGGAGATAGGTCCAGCTGCTTGGCTGGGTGACTGGGAGAATAAAAAATGAGATAATAGATGAAAAGTACCCAGCAGAGCACCTGGGGGCAGGTAAAAAAGGCTCATACACTGTGGGTCACAGTGGAGAGTTTCAGAAATGCCCAGAACCTACCAAGCAACCTCTCAATGGCAGGAGGAAGTATGTCCTGGGACTTTCACAGGGAAGCACTGAATCTTTATTAAATTACCCTTCCCCCTGGGGTTTAGAGCAAGAGGCAGCAGGGCTGTTCCTGCCTCACTGATGGCAAGAGGCCTGCGCAGGCCAATAACACGGTTACAGTGTTAATCATTAAAATGCTGTGTCTGTTTTTGTCTGGGGACGAGGCATTTCGATCTTTGTTCTCCCTCTATAAAGAGGAAAGGTGAGGTGCTAAGTGGTGACTCCAAGCCAAGAGGCTAGCATGCCTGCCAGGCCACACGGATGGGAAGGCTTCAGATTCCCCCAGCCCCAGCATTTTTGGAGATGTCCTTGGAGGGTAAATCCTGAGTAGACGCAGTTGGAATAGGAGGAAAGGCAGATTAGCTCCTCCCAGAAAGCCAGGCTGTGCCCATTCAAATGAGAGGCTTCTATCATTGGCTGTCAAAAGAGAGTTAAGAAGCAAGGTGGTAGGCTGGGCGCAGTGACTCATACCTGTAATCCCAGCACTTTGAGTGGAGGAGGCGGGCAGATCACCTGAGGTTAGGAGTTTGAGGCCAGCCTGACCAACATGGCAAAACCCCGACTCTACTAAAAAATACAAAAATTAGCCAGGTGTGGTGGTACACACCTGTAATCCCAGCTACTCAGGAGGGTGAGGCAGGAGAATTGCTTGAACCCGGGAGGCAGAGGTTGCAGTGAGCTGAGATCACGCCACTGCACTCCAGTCTGGGTGACAGAGCAAGAATCTGTCTCAAAAAATAAATAAATAAATAAATAAAAGAAGCAGCAGGATGAAGGGATATACCCAACAGAAATGCAAACACATGTCCACACAAACACATGTATGCGAATGTTCATAGTAGCATTATCCACAATTGCCGAAAAATGGAAAGAACCCACATCCCCATCAACTGATGGGCATATAATAGGATTCCATTTAATGTGAAAGGTGCAGAACAGGCAAATCCATACAGACAGAAAGTAGATCAAGGTTGCCAGGGACTGGGGGAGAAGGGGAATAAGGAGTGACTGCTGATGAATGCAAGGTTTTCTTTTGGGGTGACGAAAATGTACAACTTTGTGAATACACTAAAAAACCATTTAATTATACACTGTTAGGTGAATTCTGTGGTCAGTGAATTATATCTTTTCTTTTCTCTTTTTTTTTTTTTTGAGGAGTTTTGCTCTTGTTGCCCAGGCTGGAGTGCAATGGCACGATCTTGGCTCACTGCAACCTCTGCCTCCTGGGTTCAAGCAATCCTCCTGCCTCAGCCTCCTGAGTAGCTGGGATTACAGGCATGCGCCACCACGCCCAGCTAATTTTGTGATTTTAGTAGAGATGGGGTTTCACCATGTTGGCCAGGCTGGTCTCGAACTCTCGACATCAGGTAATCCACCCACCTCGGCCTCCCAAAGTGCTGGCATTACAGGCATGAGCCACCGCACCCGGCCAGTAAATTATATCTTTAATAAACCTGGACTCTGAGTCAGATTCTTTGCTCTTATTTTTTTTTATTAAGGAAATATTAAATACCTACTAAGGGCCAAGCATTGTTTTAGGTGCTGGGGCCATAGGATGAACAAGGCAGACAATGCCTTGCTCTCTTGTCATTTACATTTCATTGTGGAAATCTGTCCGCCACGCACCCCCCAAGCTTAAAGGCAAATAAATAAATAATTGCATGTGTGGTGAAACTGTGAAGCAAACGTAGAGCTTAAAGAAAGAATTTTTTAGAATGTAGCAGTATGCCCAGAATGGGAGAAATTCCAGGCAGAGACCAGCATGTGCTCAGGGCATGGGTGAAAAAGGTCTTGGGGTGTTAAAGACACTGAAATCAGACCAGGAGGACTGAAACAGTCACTCCACCACTTCTTTGTGTGTGACCTTATACAAGGCCCTGCAGCTCCCTGAGTTATTCTGCGGGGTAGTGGGGAGACAGTACCTATCCAATCAGGGAAGCACCTGGCTCTGTGCTGGACATAGAGCAGGTACCCAAATATCATTCCTCGCCCTCTCCATCTATCCCCTCCTGACATGCTGGCTGCAGTCTATTCCTCCATCCTGGATTGCATATTCTTCCTCTCTCTCTCTAAAAGGACAGACATCCCCTAAAAGAGTCTACAAAAATAGCAAATGTGCAGGCTAGGTGCAGTGTCTCACACCTGTAATCCCAGTACTTTGGGAGGCCAAGGTGGGCAGATCACTTGAGCTCAGGAGTTCAAAACCAGCCTGGACAAAATGGCAAAACCCCATCTCTCCAAAAAATGCAAAAAATTAGCTGGGCATGGTGGCATGCACCTGTCATCTCACTACTCAGGAGGCTGAGGTGGGAGGATTGCTTGAGCCCAGGAGGTTGAGGTTGCAATGAGCTGAGATCACACCACTGCACTCCAGCCTGGGTGACAAAATAATAATAATAATAATAATAATAATAATAATAATAATAATAATAATAATAGAAAACGTGACCGGGCACGGTGGCTCACGCCCGTAATCCCAGCACTTAGGGAGTCTGAGGTGGGCGGATCACTTGAGGTCAGGAGTTCGAGACCAGTCTGACCAATGTGGTGAAACCCCGTCTCTACCAAAACTGCAAAAATCAGCCAAGCATGGTGGCAGGCGCCTGTAATCCCAGCTATTCAGGAGGCCGAGGCAGGAGAATCACTTGAACCTGGGAGTCGGAGGTTGCAGTGAGCTGAGATCTCGCCACTATACTCCAGCCTGGGTGACAATGTTAGACTCCATCTCAAAAAAAAAAAAAAAAAGAGCAAATGTGCCACATAATTCTCTCATCAGTGGTACAAGCCAGACACATTATCCCTGAATGCCTGCACTGCATGGACCAGAAGAATTAGCCTGTGATGGTCTGTGAACTGTTTTCCTTGATCAAGTGTGAGTCATTAGGTCTGTGCTAGGTCCTTATTGAGAAGTAGCTCCATAAGAGCGGCTACTGTTGCCTTCCACCTATAAAGGTGGCCTTTCAGCAGCCTCTGGGCTCTGTCTAGAACTAATTTGATTAGGAAAGCTCAGCTAAGGAGGAAAACACAATACTGTTGATCAGGGCATAAGCTTTAGAGTCAAGCCTATCTGGATTCCAGGCTGCAGACTTACTTCTACTTCTTCCTGGCTAAGTACCCTAGATGTAGGACTTCTCCTTTTTTTTTTTTTTTTTTAAGAGGGAGTCTTTCTCCTGTCCCACAGGCTGGAGTGCAATGGCGTGATCTCAGCTCACTGCAACCTCCACCTCCCAGGTTCAAGTGATTCTCCTTCCTCAGCCTCCCAAGTAGCTGGGATTACAGGGGTGCACCACCACACCCAGCTAATTTCTGTATTTTTAGTAGATAGATACGGGGTTTTACCATGTTGGCCAGGCTGGTCTCAAACTCCTGACCTTAGGTGGTCCACCTGCCTCGGTGTCCAAAAGTGCTAGGATTACAGGTGTGAGCCACTGCGCCTGGTTGGGACTTCTCCTTTCTGATCATTTTTCACCAGCAGCATCAGCCTCCTGCTACCATTTATGGGGAATCATTAAATAGCTAATGGAATTCCCACTATCACCTGTGAAATTTGGCTGCTATTCCCATTTAACAGAAAAGTAAACAGAGGCACAGATCTTAGACGTCAAGTACCCATGGTCATACAGTTAGTTGATGGAAGAGCCTGGATTTGAATCCAAGGAGTATAGCTCCAGAGCCCGTGGTCTTTAACAACCGCACACTATGATGTCCCTCAGCTGCAAAATGGGACAATAACATTGGCATTGTGGAGTTTTCACAAGGACCGACTGAGCTGAAGTATATGAAGTATTTTGAGATGCTGGGAACCTAGAGATTATCCAACAAGTGGTACTGGCCTGTCTCCCTTAAACTTAAGGCGTTTCAAAGGGACTCTGCTATTAGAAGTGACTTTTTCAGACACAAAGGTAGGGTTTGCCCAAGGAGAGATTGACAATGCTGAGCCACTGCCCTGTGGAGCTCTCCAGCAATCACCAAAGCTCCCATCTTAACCCAGGATCCTCCACAAAGATCAGACCCAGGAGAGGTGATTCAAGCTTTTAGGGGAACCTGCTGGTGTCAGCTGCTAATATATGTAAAGTGTCTAGTACAAGGTCTGGCACATATCTTGATTAAAAATTAATAGAGCTCTATTTGATTGCACTAAATTCTATACACACATTTGATATTCCCATTGAATCCTCACAGCTGTTCTATCGCGTACATACTATTACTACTCCCATTTTGCAGATGAAAAAACTGAGACCTAAAGAGTTACATGATGGTATGTTCAACGTCATGCAGCTGGTGAGTTGTCAAGCAAGGATTTGAACCCAGGCAATGCGATCTCTGAGCCTCCATCGGAATTGGCTCCATTCTCAGAGACTTTCTCCTGCCCCTTCTCAGGAGACCACATTATCAGCCCAACACCAATTCATGTTTACATGGGCCATTCTTGTTAACTGAGACAGTAGAGAGGAATGGCTGAGTTGATGCATGGGCTTTAGGCAGCATCAGCTCCTCCTTCATAGAAGTGATATAACCATATCTCATTTAATCCTTTCAATAGCCCTATGAGAGACTTAATATATTAACTTCACCCAGACCAGAAAACAGAGGCAGGCAGATAAAGTGTACCCAAAGTTACACTGCAAGGCAGTAAGAGGAGAAATGAAAGCCCACTTCAGCTCAGGCTGGGCTCCAGGGAAATAGTTGCTAGATAATAAGTTATCTCACCTCTGAGAGGCCAGGCAGCCTTGTGTCTACACAGGAAAACAAAGGTAGATAAATGCAGGAATTCACAGCCCTATAAAAAACGAATTAAGATAAAATGCGTACCCTTACTACTTAATGAGGGAGGTTTATGAACACAAATGCATGACAATGACTCAGAGGAACATAATTATCTTATCGTAAGTTAAAGGCAATCAATTTTCATTTCTAAGTAAATATCATATTTCCTCCATCCTAACACACCTATTTTTTTTTTTTTCTCACATTTGGCCATTTCTGAAGTCTGGTTACAACTTACCACAGATGCTCATGGTGACAATGCATCTTCCTTCCCCGTCCCGTAAAGGCGAGTATTGAATTAAAAATGTGACCTACAACCAATGTTGCCTTAGAATTGAGGTTCCCCTTTCAATCTCACCCCTGTCCTAGCTAAGGCATTCTATCACTACCCCTGTCTTCTTTTTTCTATTTCAAGTCACAGGAAGAAAACTATGCATTTCTTGTTAGAAACTAAAAGGAAACTCTCTCACCTGCAGTAGATGTTACAGGAGCAGACTCACAGAAGAATTAAATGATTGGAAAATAGAAAATAAAGATTTTCTCTTCCCCAGCCTGTAACTACTCCTGTACCCTGATCCCTAATGCAAGAACACGGGAATAAGCCTGGGCAATATCGTGAGACCTCGTCTCTACAAAAAATTTTTACAAATTACCCAGATGTGGTGGTGTGTGCTGGTAGTCCCAGCTACTCTAGTGGATGAGGTGGGAGGATCATTTAAGCCCAGCAAATCAAGGCTGCAGTGAGCCGTGACCACGCTGCTACATCGCACTCCAGCCTGGGCAACAGAGCAAGACCCTGTCTCAAGGAAAAAAAAAAAAACATGAGAATGGTTGACTGAGCCTGAGCCTGGATCTGCCTGGAGACGTGTGGTCAGTGGAAGGGGTGTCTTTATGCAGCTGGGACAGGTGAGTCCAGACAGGAAGAACCACACTCCAGACCATGCAGTGACTTTGTGGCAGAGCCGCAAACTCAAGGCTCTGCGTTCCCAGAACAAGTGCTTCTCACTGTGCTGCTTCTAGTTTGTTGCCTCAAACTCTCTGCTCAGAAGGCCCTCTCAAACCTGGGCAACACAGTGAGATCCTGTCTCTACAAAAAAAAAATTAAAAATTAGCTGGGCACAGTGGTGCACAGCTGTGGTCCCAGCTACTCGGGAGGCTGAGGTAGGAGGATCACTTGAGCCTGGGAAGTAAAGGCTGCAGTGAGCTGTTATCGTACCACTGCACTTCAGCCTGGGAGACAGAGTAAGACTCTGTCTCAAAAAGAAGGAGCCTTCAGCTTGCCAGATGAGAAGTGATACAGTGATACTGTCTTCCTGGAAGCAGAAAAGTTCTGTGTCCCTGAGCAAGTCACTTCATCTCCTCTCCTGCTGCTAAAACTCCCTCATCCTCACCCTTCCTCATGCTCCTTCACAGAACAGGCAACAACCTCCGTCCAGGGCCCCTATCTACATGTGGGACTTCCACCCATCATGGGTTGCTGGGGCCTTCTTCTCTCTCCTGAAGTTTTGAAAAGAGAGATAATGCAGTCATAAAAAGAAATGAACTAATGGCATTCGCAGCAACCTGGATGGAACTGGAGACTATTATTCCAAGTGAAGTAACTCAGGAAATGGAAAAAACTTCGTATGTTCTCACTCATATGTGGGAGCTAAGCTATGAAGATGCAAAGGCATAAGAATGATACAATGGACTTTGGGGACTTGGAGAAAAGGGTGGGGTGGGGGTGAGGGATAAAAGACTACAAATTGGGTTTAGTGTATACTACTCAGTGATGAGTGTACCACTAAAGGATGACTCTTGTAATCAAATACCACCTGTTTCCCAAACACCTATGGAAATAAAAAATAAAATTAAAAATTAAAATTAAAAAAAATAGAGACAAAATGTAAAAGGAAGAAAGGAGTCAAAGAAATCACCAAGTCAAGAGTGCTGGGTCTGGGCCTTAAACCTTACCCTTCCTCTCTGTGAAATGGGCACAGCCTCTTCCTCTCTGATCTGGTTTCCCAGTTCCCTTCCAGACTGGCCTCTGGTGCTTGCAGGTGCTAAAGCTAAGACACGCATCCCTCTTGCTCCTGACAGCCTAGCCTGGGTTGGGGGGATCCTGCCAGCAACACCACCGGCTGTAAGTTCTGTGGCAGCAGCCTCTACCCTGTCATGTTAGTGTCTGCTGAATTGAATCACTCAGAGGTCATTTTCTGGCCTCCTTTTAAATGGCAGACCCCAAAAACAAACGCTGCTTCAGTTTATGCCTCTTAAAACTTTGGCCTAAGGTGCTTTGCTCCCATTCCTGGGTACAGAACTAGAAAATGGAGCCAGATCCCAGCCCTTGATGTGTGGACAGGATGTGGGAAGGTAACAAAGGGAGAAAAGGGGTGAATGAAACGCCCAAGATGGCTTAAGAAGCAGTCTCATCTGGCCAGGCACGGTGGCTCATGCCTGTGATCCCAACACTTTGGGAGGCCTAGGTGGGTGGATCACCTGAGGTCAGGAGCTCCAGACCAGCCTGGCCAACATGGCGAAACCCCGTCTCTACTAAAAATACAAAAATTAGCCAGGTGTGGTGGCGGGCACCTGTAACCCTAGCTACTCAGGAGGCTGAGGTGGGAGAATCACTTGAACCCGGGAGGTGGAGGTTGCAGCGAGCTGAGTTCGCGACACTACACTCCCACCTGGGCGGCAAGAGCGAAACTCTGTCCCCCAAAAAAAAAAAACGAATCAGTCTCATCAGTGCAAATGCTCGCAGCTCCCAAATTAGTTGGGAGCAACTGGACCCAAGAAACATTCAGCAAGCACACGCATCTTGAGGTTGTGAAGAACTGTTTAAGAGTCAGACTGCTGGACGCAGTGGCTCACACCTGTAATCTCAGCACTCTGGAAGGCCAAGACTGGTAGATTGCTTCAGCCCAAGAGTTAGAGAACAGCCCAAGAGTTGGAGACCAGCCTGGGCAACATAGTGAAACCCTGTCTCTATAAAAAGTACAAAAATTAGCCAGGTGTGGTGGCAGACACCTGTGGTTCCAGCTACTTAGGGGGCTGAGGTAGGAGGATCACCTGAGCCCAGGGAGGTCGAGGCTGCAGTGAGCCATGATTGTGCCATTACACTGCACTCCAGGCTGGGCAACAGAGAGTGACCTTGTCTCAAAAAACAAAAACAAGCCAGTCTTCTAGATTCATGACCCCAGCTCTGCCACCTACAAGCTACCTGACCTTGGGCCATGACTTAACCTCCCTGTAACATGGGAGTAAATAGTCCTTTCCTCCTAGGGTTGAGGAATGCTTGGAACAGTGCCTAGTACACAGCTAATTCTACAGTATTGTTCACTACTATTACCTGCCTGGAGCTTTAATGCACTATAATCTCATAGAATCTTCCTAACAAGCCTGGGAAAAAGTAATTATTTTATAGATGAAAAACCTGAGGCTCAAGTCATACTGCTGATTTGCAGCAGGGCTGGGATTTAAAGACTCCCCGGTCTTTCCAACTTCAAGTTCCACTGTCCCGTGTTCCCTCCCAGAGAGAGGGGATAGAAAAGGACAACACCGTGGGGGAGGGGAGGTAAATCATGTGGAAGGGGCATGGATGCCATTGGGAAAGGCTCAAAGTGGGAGAGGCTGCCCGGTGGGGAGGTCTGATGGAGACAGTTTTTCCCCATGACCTCTTGAAGTGCCACTTCCCAGAAAAGATGATGGCTGCAGGCTGAGGGCACACTGGGGACTCCACATCTTTCATAGCCATTGCTGAAGTCTCTGAGCCTCAAGAGAAATTTACTGCAGACCACACATCGGCAGCCATGAGAGGGAAGGCGGAAGGGCAGGCCAGATGGGACAGTCCCCAGGCAGGACTCTGCACAGGCTCTGGGGCTGTGGGGCTCTGGGCTGACCACAGCCTGGAAGAGCCTAGTGACACCCTGTCACCCCTAGACTCCTCAGTTCCCAGACACCTTGTTCTGATGAAGTGAATGGGGAGGCTGGGCCTGGGGGTGGGAGAATAGCCACATGATAGCCCCTCACCCCTGCATGCCAGCAGGCAGCAGGGAAGGCAGACAGGAGCCCAGAGGGCCAGCAGCAGTGACCACGGGGCCTACATTTTTCTGGCAACGAGGGTTGGCAAGGGAGAACAGACAGAAGCCTGCTATATCAGGCTGGAAAGAGAAGGACTCTCCTCAGCTTGGAGAAATTCCTGCCTAGTACCATTTGCCCATTCCCAGACTAACCAAATGTTAGAGCAGAAAAAGGGGCTTTCTGAGGTCAGCCAACAGGGCCTCCTTACTTTGCAATGGAAAAAAATTAGGTCACACAAAGTTGAAAGCTATTGTAAAGGAGACCAGAACTTGGGTGCCTCAATACCTAGTCCCATGGTCTTCAGGGCATGCATATGAGATCCAGAATCAGGTCACCATGGCTCTGACTCTGGATCTGCCCCCAGCCATCAATCTGCACTATTCTAGAAGCTTCCTTCAGGTTGTAGGTTCTATAGCTCTGAGATAGAGTGGCATGCACTGTGTGTGCACGTGTGTATGTAGTATGCGTCCATTCAACAGCAAATATTTATCGAGTGCTCCATTTAAGGCCCTGGAGATAAAGCAGTTCACAAATAGAGGAAGCCTCTCCACTGTGTCTCTAGGGCTGACTTTCACTACAGAGAGAGCCTCATGCACAATTTGTGCCTAGACTCAAAGGTAGGATGTGTCCTGTGCACACCATCAAGAGCTACAGCCCTTCTCCGGGTCTCCTTGTGCTTCACAGGGGTTTTGGACAAACCTTATGGGAGCATTTCCCCAGCCCCAACCCATGCCCTGACTCCCGCCTCCCATGGCACCCCAGGGTGCTGCTTCGGGCATTTGGTGCCCCGCCTTGCAATCACTGACTTCCTGAGCAACCTGAAGAGGGACTGTACCTACTTCACCTCTTAATCCTTAGCACCTGGTGGATGCAAGCTCCCTAGGAACTCCCGTTGAATAAAGGGATGATTAAATGAAGGCACCGATTCTCAGTTTCTCTCATCTGTAAAATGCAGGTGATAACTATCTGGATGACTCCTGATTTTCCTCCAGATCAGATGAGACATAGGAGATGAAAGGACCTTGGAACTAACGTGCTGTTCTTCCCAAGATACAGTTCTTATTATCCCCCATAAAAATGGCACCAGCTCAGTGTCTCTGAGAAAGGACTCAGCTATAGAGAGCCTCGGTTTTTATCCGGGAGTGTGTGCTTGAGCATGAATATGTGTGTGAGTGTGAGTGTATATGCTGGCCTGGAGAGCCAAATCGACCCCATAAGAAGATGTAATTTCAAGGAGGCTTCAGGGAACCCAGACCTCCTCCCTGTCTGTCCCTATTTACAGGGACATATGGCTGCCAGGCCAGCAGAGCCCCAGAGGAGTTCAGCCCTCAGCCGAGGACAAAGGGAAGGACGGGAAAGAGAAAGCACCCCCAAGAGCCCTTGTCTCTCCATCGTCCGTCCGTCTGTCAGCGGCAGCCAGTGGCTTGCCAGGCAGGACGGAAGCGCTGCCCGGCCATAAATGACCGCTGGCTCCAGGCTGGCCACCCGCCCTGGCCGCCCGCACGGAAGGGCCGGACTTTACCCAGCAAATCGGGAAGGAACTGAAGCCTCTGAACTTGGGACTTGGGCTCCGTCGATAAGGCCAGTGGACAAACAGAGGGCAGGGACCAGGGCTCCCCTTTATACACACAGAAGCCCGGCTCCAGGCTGATACTGCTGAGATCTTTGCCCTTTAGTTCAAACAGGAAATCTTAAAATGGAAAATGAGCTGCGTAAGGAAGGGGCGCGGCCACTAGCTTACAGGGAAGACGGAGCAGGTTGTTCGCCAAAGAACGTTTTGGCTCCACGCGGCCTGGGGTGTTTGGGAGGGGTCAAGGGTCTGCCTGGGGAAGGGAGAAGGCAGCCTGGCAGGTGAGGAAGCCCTATAGGCAGCTGTAGGGCGGGGGGAGTGTCAGAAACCTGGGTCTGAGCCACAATACGCAACTGATCCGTGGTGTGGCTTGTGGGGAATGACTTCACATATAGGAACCTCAATTTCTCCATCCATAAATGTGGCTAGCCATACCATCCACCTAGAGCGCTCACAGAGGATCTGAATGAAGTCATGGTGTGAAAGTGCCATGCAAGTCACAACCCTACATCCTGGCAAGGCCCTCCCCAGAAGGAATTTCACAATCACAAGGGGAAATCCAGAATAACATCTCCAGCCCCCCATGCCACCCCTGTACACCCCCGTGCTGGCAGTTCAAAGAAGAGAAAATTGGGAGAAGAGAAATAATTAGAGAACGCCAGCAGTCTCTCTGCTGAGGTTTCCAAGTAATTATTCACCTGTAAATTACTCCTCTCACCTTAATTCTATCTCCAGATCCTTTAGACAAGGTAAATTCATTTATTTACATCTCTAACTATCCTGCTTTGGTAAACATTCCAACAAGGTTGGATGGCCCATTAAAGAAAAAAACAAGTGAAGAAGCGAGGCAAGCAGGAGAGAGAGAGATTAACTACTGGTCATTACTGGCATTTGCAGAATTACCTCCAAGGGTAATTAATGAGGAATCATGCCAAAGCAAACCTCAACTTGAGCCAAAAAGGAACCCATCACAGCCAGGTGGAAACTACAGGCGGCCCCACTTGCAGATGGCCCTCGCTTCTCACCTGCAGGATGGGACCCTTCCAGGAGGCTCCCCTTAACTCCTTCTGCCTCAGGCAGTGGTGTGGGCTGCACCTTCATTTCAGGAAGAACTCTCCTTATCTGGTGAGGTCACTTTTGACTCACCCCTCTCACTCACAGACCAGCAATCTTTCTGGGCCACCCCCCAACCCAGGCCTGGCCATTTCTGGGCCTGGCACATCTTAGCTGCTCAATAAACAGATGGCTAGGCATGGCGGCTTATACCTGTAATCCCAACACTTTGGGAGGCCAAGGCAGGAGAATCACTTGAAGCCAGGAGTTCAAGACCAGCCTGGGCAACATAGACAGAACCCATCTCTATAAAAATTTTTAGTAGTGACACGCACTGTATTCCCAGCTACTTGGGAGGCTGAGGCAGGAGGATCACTTGCACCCAGGAAATTGAGGTTATAGTGAACCATAATTGTACCACTGCACTCCAGCCTGGATGACAGAGCAAGATCCTGCCTCTAAACAGACAGATAGTAGCTGCTGAGTGAATGGATCAATGTACTATTCATTCTAATTTCCTAAAGCCTCTTGAACTTGCCAAATTTCAAAGTCACCCCCCCTCCCAAGATTAAACTCACCATCCTTTTTTGCCTGAACCAGAGCCTCCAAAGGGCCTCTCCGCTTCTAGTCTCTCCTCCTTTCCTCCTCCACACAGATTTAACTCTCAAAAAGGTAAACTGAAAAATCAAGCAAGATAATACTTCAGCTCCGACCACTGAGGAGAAGGGCGGGGTTAAGAGAGTGGCCCCTAGAGTCAGATAGCCTGGGTTGAAGTCTGGGTCAACAACAGACCACCTGTGTATACTTTGGGTCAGTTACTTAACATCGCCGAACTTAGTCTTCTCATGGCTTCTTCACCTTAAAATGAGAATAACATCTATCCCACTTACAATGGCTGTTGAGTGCATTATGAGTTAATGAAGAAATGCCTTGCACCTGATGAACACTGGCTGTTAGCAGCAGCAGGGAAATTAGTCTCATCAGCATCGTCCTTACTAGAAATGCCTTCACTGCCTTCTCATTGTCCTCACATTAAAGCCCAAGCACTTTAGCATGTCAAGACACATGGAGTTCACAAGGACAAGAGCCTGATTCCTGTCCTGGTCCAGAGTCCAGCTCAGAGAGCCCTCAATAGATATCACGAATGGATAAATAAATAAATGAAACCAGGCCCTGCTCTCTCTCAGCCTCAATTCTCACCACTTTCCCACCCTCCCTAGTCCAGCCATAGAAGCCCTTGCAGTTTCCCAAATGCTACGTGCTCTCTCAACCTCAGCTCTTTGCACAGGCTGCTTTCTCTAAGAATGCCCTTCCAGGAATCCAGGCACTGCATCCCAGGACCCAGGCATTCACAGACGACAAATGCAGAGAGGCGACCTTAAATGGGCTCGTCTCTCAGAGGTGTATCCCATTTTGGACAGTGAGTGAGCCAGAGGGTTGGACCTTTCAACTGGCCTTTTAAAGTTCATGTGTCTTCTAGAAAGAGCTTTCTAGTGGCTTTGAAATATCCAACAACCCCATGAAAGGGGAAGATAGATATGGGTCTCCCCAGCTTTAAAATGAAAGAATTGTGGTCCATAAAAGGCCAGTGACTTGCCCGTGGTCACCACTTAGTATCAGCAGTGACATAACCTTAAACTTTCCAAGACCACAGAATAGGGGAAAGAACACAGACTCAGAAGCAGGTGTGAGTTTGCAACCCTGGCCAAGACTTTGAGCAAAGTTCACCTCTTTAAGCTTCTAATTTCTCCATCTGTAAAGCAGGGGTAAGCATAACTTTCCTGCAAGGTGGTTTGGGAAGATGTGTTGAGACACCTACCACATGAGAAAGCACCCAGCCACTGCCTGGTCCTAGAGGCAGAGTCACTGCATGAAATGTGAGTGAAGGTTTGGAGAGGAGAGGGAGGCTGAACAGTGGCAGGTGTGCAAGGATCTGGAAGTGGCAATGAAAAGCAGGAGAAGGCAGCCTCTGCCTCCACATCTGGAGTCAGGAATTTTTTAAAACCTTAACTCTCAAAGGCCAAGGGCAAACGGTATCCTCAGCAGAGAGTCGAGGGTCAGTTAAGATAAGAAATAGAGGCAAAATTAGGGCTAGAGACGCAGCTCACAGGCAGCCAGCAGCCAGCATTCGACTCACACACACTCTGCCCAACTGGGATAAACTTCTGAGAACCAAGCCCCTTTAAAGTTGCCTCTCTGGGTTTGTCGTCTGTGAATGCCTGGGTCCTGGGATGCAGTGCCTGGATTCCTAGAAGGGCATTCTTAGCAGAGAAAGCAGCCTGTGCAAAGAGCTGTGGTCGAGAGAGCATGGAGCATTTGGGAACTTGCAAGAGCTTCTGTGGCTGGACTAGGGAGGGTGGGAAAGTGGTGAGAATTGAGGCCGAGAGAAAGCAGGGCCTGGTTTCCATGAGTCATGCTAAGGTGCTTGGCCTTTAATTTGAGGACAATGAGAAGGCAGTGAAGGCATTTGTAGTAAGGACGATGGTGTGAGAGTAATTGCACTGCTGCTGATTAACAGCCAGTGTTCATCAGGTGCGAGGCATTTCTTCATTAGCTCATGAGAAAACCACAGTGATGGGATCAGGTGAACTTTTCCAAAAAAGAGTTGGAGATGGAAACCAGAGCGGTAGCTAGGACCAGGAGGTAGGGAGAGAGACTTGGAAGAGGCAGAGGCCAAAAATATGCAACAATGACCAGCAATAATAGAAATGTCACCACAACAATCAGAGAGTGAAATTAGCTCCTGGTCATTACTGGCATTTGCAACTTCTATTTATTCAACAGTTTCCTCCACATGACTGCTAGGAGATTCTTTTTGTATCTCACTAAAAGAGTAAATAATCGGCCGGACACAGTGGCTCATGCCTGTAATTCCAGCATTTTGGGAGGCTGAGGCAGGTGGATCACCTGAGGTTAGGGGTTCGAGACTAGCCTGGCCAACATAGTGAAACCGTATCTACTAAAAATACAAAATCAGCCAGGTGTGGTGGCACATGCCTGTAATCTCAGCTACTTGGGAGGCTGAGGCAGAAGAATCACTTGAACCTGGGAGGCGGAGGTTGCAGTGAGCTGAGATCACGCCATTGCACTCCAGCCTGGACAACAAGAGTGAAACTCTGTCACAAAAAAAAGAATAAATAAATAAATAAATAATCTCATAATGCTAAGAAGCAGGTCAAGACACATGAAGTTCACAAGGATAAATGCCTGATTCCTGTCCTGGTCCAGAGTCCAGCTCAGGGAGCCCTCAATAGATATCATGAATGGATAAATAAATAAATAAATAAAGAGCTAGCACTAATATCACAAGAGCAAATCCCCAGACAGCCCTTAAATTCATATTTACCAATAATCCCAGATTCTTTTATCTTATTTTCCAAATGACTGATTAAGCAGTTACATAAGTAAAAAAAACTGCTTGAGTTAAATCAACCTGAATTAACACCTGCCTTCTCTATTTGCCCCTCTTGGCCTCAGTTTCCTCATTTGTTTAATAAATATTATTGTGTATTTGGGAATTCTTGAGGAGTCAGGATAATGTATATATAGTGTCATCCATATGGTTTTCCGTGAACACATGAAATCTTGTCTACCAGTCTATAAAGCAAATCCAGCAAAATTCAGAAACATTGCATATATGCAGTGTTTAACCACAGAGCAATTCAGCTGGAAATAAATAACAAAAAGATAACAAAGAGAACCTTATGCTTTTGAAAATTTATGAGCTTATAGCTAAATAAGTCAAAAATCAAAGAAGCAATGAAAGTGGAAATTATAACATATCTAGAACTGAATGTCAGTGAAAATACTGTACGTCAAAATGTATGGAACACAACTAAATCAACACCGGAGAGGGAAATCTGTAACTGTAAATGCTTAGATGGCCAGGTGCAGCGGCTCACACCTGTAATCCCAGCACTCTGGGAGGCCAAAATGGGCAGATTTCTTGAGCCCAGGAGTTCAAAACCAGCCCAGGCAACATGGTAAGACCCCCGTCTCTGCAAAAAATAAAAAAATTAGCAGGATGTGGTGGCTCATGACTGTAGTCCCAGACACTTGGGAGGCTGAAGCAGGAAGACCACATGAGCCTAGGAGGTTGAGGCTTCAAGTGAGCCATGTTTGTGCCACTGCAGTTTAGCCTGGGTGACAGAGCAAGACCTGGTCTTAATCAATCAATCAAGCAAAAACAAACAAACAAACAAACAAAAAAACTTAGATTAGAAAAACAAGAAATGCTGAAATGTAATAAACTAAACATCCAACTTAAGGAATTAGAAAATAACCACAGGATAGGACCGGGCACAGTGGCTCACGCCTGTAATCCCATCACTTTGGGAAGCTGAGGTGGGTGGATCACCTGAGGTCGGAAGTTTGAGACCAGCCGGGCCAACATGGTGAAACACCGTCTCTACTAAAAATACAAAAAAATTAGCCCAGTGTGGCAATGCGCACCTGTAATCTCAGCTATTCCAGAGGCTGAGGCAGGAGACTCACTTGAACCCAGGAGGCAGAGGTTGCAGTGAGCCGAGATAACACCACTGCACTCCAGCCTGGGTGACAGAGTGAGAGACTCTGTGTCAAAAAAAAAAAAGAAAATAACCACAGGATAAACCCAAGGAAAGTAGACATAAGAAAATAAGAAAATGAGAACGGAAATTGGTAAAATAGAAAACAAAAATAAAATAGAGAGCTTTAATGAAGTTGGTTCTTTATGAAGTCTAATAAAATTGATAAATTTTAGGTGAGAATGATCAATAAGAAAATTATGTGAGGCTCAAAAAATAACATTACAAATAATAAAAGGAATGAACAATTACAGATAGAGCAAAGATTTAAAAGATAATAAAACATACTATGAATGACTTTATGCCAATAAATTTTAAAACTTAGATAAAATGGAAAAATTCCTAGAAAAGAATTCTACCAGAACTGACTAAAAAATAATTAGAAAACTTGAGTCTTCCTTTAACCATTAAAGTAATTAAATCTATCAAAAAAAATATTGTATATCAACTTTTTTTTAATAGATAGAGACAGAATCTCGCCATGTTGCCCAGGCTGGTCTCAAACTCGTGTGCTCAAGTGATTCTCCCACCTCGGCCTTCCAAAGTGCTGGGATTACAGGTGTGAGCCACCGCACACAGCCATATGTCAATTTAAAAAATATATTTTATTATAAATTAAATCTATAAAACTATTCCATAAATAACTTCCAGGCCCAGCAGTTAGTCGTCTTTTTTTTTGGCAGGGGAGGTTGGTTTTTCGTTTTGTTCTTTTTTTAGACGGAGTCTCGTTCTATCACCCAGGCTGGAGTGCAGTGGCCCTACCTCAACTCACTGCAACCTCCACCTCCCAGACTCAAGTGATTCTCCTGCCTCAACCTCCCAAGTAGCTGGGACTACAGGCAAGTGCCACCATGCCCAACTAACTTTTGTATTTTTAGTAGAAACAGGGTTTTACCATGATGGTCAGGCTGGTCTCGAACTCCTGACCTCAAGTGATCGGCCCGCCTCAGCCTCCCAAAGTGCTGGGATTATAGGCATGAGCCACTGCACCCAGCCCAGGCCCAGTAGTTCTTAAAGCAAATTCCAACTAAATGTCAAGGAACAGGTAATTACATATCACTTCAGACTCTTGCAGGGAACAGAAAGAGGAGAATAAATTTCCCACTCATTTGATGAGAAAAGTACAGCTTTGCTATTGAAATAGGGCAAAGTAATATAAAAATGAAAAATCATTAGTCAATATTTCACGTGAACTTAGACAGTCCCCAAACAAAATTTTAGTAAATCAAAGCCAGCAATCATGAAAAAAAAAAAAAAGATAGTTCACATGACCAAATTTGGCTTAAATTAGGTATGCATTTTGGGCATTCATCATTTTAACATATTAAGGGAGATAAATGACAAGATCATATGAGCTGTCACACAAAAAGCTATTTAAAATTCAACACTCATAGATGATTTTTTTTTTTTTTTTTTTGAGATGGAGTCTTGGTCTGTTGCCCAGGCTGGAGTGCAGTGGCGCAATCTCGGCTCACTGCAGCCTCCATACGGGGCTCACTACCCCGCCATTTCTTTCTACTTCAGTTTGCTAAGCTTTTTTTTAAAAAAAAAAAAAATCACGTAGGGCCGAGCGCAGTGGCTCACGCCTGTAATCTCAGCACTTTGGAAGGCAGAGGTGGGCAGATCACCTGAGGTTGGAAGTTCAAGATCAGCCTGACCAACATGGAGAAACCCCGTCTCTACTGAAAATACAAAATTAGCCAGGCATGGTGTCGCATGCCTGTAATCCCAGCTACTCAGGAGGCTGAGGCAGGAGAATCGCTTGAACCCAGGAGGCAGAGGTTGCGGTGAGCCAAGATTAAGCTATTGCACTCCAGCCTGGGCAACAAGAGCAAAACTCCATCTCAAAAAAAAAAAAAAAGAAAGAAAAAGAAGTAAAGAAATAAAAAGGAATGTCCTTAACTAGAAGAAGAATATTTGCAAAAATCCAAAATAAATATTATACTTAATGGTGAATAATTAGAAAAATTTCCCTAATAGTCAGCATATAAAAGAAAGGTACAAAAATTCTTTATTCCCAAATTATGATTGTCTACAGACAATATTCAAATACCAATAAAAACTGTAAATGCTTAGAAAGAATAAGAAAATTAACAAGATTGTTATCAGTAAATGAAACTCAATTACGTTTTTACAACCAAATAACCATCAGTTAAAAGTGTAATTTTAAAAATACAACTTACTAGCCAGGCGCAGTGGCTCAAGCCTGTAATCCCAGCACTCTGGAAGGCCGAGGCAGGCAGATCATTTGAGGCTAGGAGTTTGAGACTAGCCTGGATAACATGGTAAAATGCTGTCTCTACTAAAAAAAAAAAAAAAATACAAAAATTAGCCGGACATGGTGGCACACGCATGTAATTCTAGCTACTTGGGAGACTGAGGCATAGGAATTGCTCGAACCCAGGAGGCAGAGGTTGCATCGAGCCCAGGTCACACCACTGCAACTCCAGCTTGAGTGACAGAGCAAGACTCTGTATCAAAAAACAAAACAAACAAACAAAAAAAACCAAAAACTTATTATGGCAACAAAAATAATTCTAGTAAAAAATGTGCAAGACCTCTGTGGAGAAAATTATAAAACTTGTTAAATGACATTTTTAAAGACACAAATGGAAGAAGAGAGAGGAACTCTGTTCATGAATAGGAAGTTTTGGTATATAGATGTCAACTGTTCCTAGACTGATCTGCAAATTCAATCCAATTGAAATGAAAATATCAGCAGAGTTTTCCAAGGAACTTGAACACCTAATTTGAAATGAATGATCAAGAGCAAATGGCAAATAATTTAAACAATCAATATAAATTGTGATTGTAATTTAGACAATTTTGAGGGAGAATAACAAAGTAGGTAAACTTGCTCTGTGAAATATCAAAATTTGTTATAAAATTATAAATACTAAGATAGTATAGTATTGATATGTGGAGAGAGATATACACTAATTGGGGGAGAATTAAGCCCAGAAACAGATCCATGGACCCATGCATTTATAAATATCTATGATAGGAAAGAGTTTGCATTGTGTGTTGGTGGTGGTTAAAGATGGACTATTCAATAAATGGTTATGGACAACCAGTTATTCAGATGGAAGATATAATAAAATTTTGATCCCTACTTTATCAACACAGACATACACACACACACACACACACACACAAACACACAAACACACATCAGGTTCAGGTATTATAGTGACTGAAATAAAAAGCATAACTTTAAATTTGGGGGAAAAATATAGAAGATATTGATAACTTCAGGGTAAGGAAAGATTTCTTAAATAAGACACTCCAAAAAAGCATAAACCTTCATCAAACTAATAAATTCAAAAATGTGATTCAGTGCAGTGGCTCAAGCCTGTAATTTCAGCACTTTGGGAGGCCGAGGCAGGCAGGTCACTTGAGCCCAGGAGTTTGAGACCAGCCTGGGCAACATGGCAAGACCCTATCTCTACCAAAAAAAAAAAAAATTAGCCAGGCATGGTGACATGCACCTGTAGTCCTAGCTACTCAGGAGGCTGAGGTGGGAGGATTGCTTGAGCCTAGGAGTTGGAGGCTGCAGCGAGCTATGATCATACCACTGCACTCCAGCCTGGGTGATGGAGCAAGACCTCATCTGTAAAAGAAATAAAGTTGTATTTTTTAAAAAAAAAAAAAAAAAGAAAAGTGAAAAAACAAGGCCAAAACTGATAGAAAATACTGACAATACTGACTGAGGAATAATACATGGAGTACATAAAGAATTCCTAAAAAAAAAAGATAAACAGCCTGCCAGAAAAATGGGCAAAAGACACTAGAGACATTTCAAAAAAGGGGAAAATTTAAATAGCAAAAGATTTTTTAAAAAGGCATTCAACTTTATTAACAAATCAAGAAAATGAAAACTAAAATAAAGATATATCATTTTCATCCACCAGAAAGGCAAAAATTGACAAGTCTGACAATACTCAGCATTGGCCAGGTGCAGTGGCTCACGCCTGTAATCCCAGCACTTTGGGAGGCCAAGGTGGGCGAATTACCTGAGGTCAGGAGTTCCAGACCAGCCTGGCCAACACGGTGAAATCCCGTCTCTACTAAAAATACAAAAATTAGCCAGGCATGGTGGCGCACACCTGTAATCCCAGCTACTCGGGAGACTAAGGCATGAGAATCACTTGAGCCCATTGGGGCGGAGGTTACAGTGAGCCTAGATCATGCCACTGCACTCCAGCCTGGGTGACAGAGTGAGACTCCATCTCAAAAATAAAAATAAATGAAAGAAGCATAGTAAAAAAAAAAAAAGTCTAGAAGAAAAAAAGTCATGAAGCATTAACCATGGCTAGCTTTGAGTGACAGATGTCATTTTCTTCTTTTTTTTTAGTAGTCTCTAATTTTCTATAATGAACATGTACTCCTTTTAAAATCAAGGAAAAAAATATTTTGTTTAACAAGACCAACCCCCTAATTCTAGGATAAATACCACACAGTTGAAAGGAGAAGGAAAAAAAAAAAAGACTAGGTATAAAAATAACTTTCTCTGGGTTTGATCTTCAAGCAACAAACTACAATCTCAGGAACTCTTTCTCCCCTGAGCTTTTCTGGGTCCTACGCAAAGAAACCAGGCAAAGTATGCTTGTTGGATTATATTGTTCCCTGGGCAAGTAGAAAAGAGAAAACTTTTGTGCATTTAATGAAAAAGCACACAAGGCATTATTTTTAGATTTACCGTAATTCTGTCCCCTACAAGACTCTGCAGCCAAGTGAACTCTGAAAGATTTTCCTGTTTTAAGCATCATTTGTTTCTCTTGATTTTTTTGTTTTGGTTTCGTGTGGAGGTGAGTGCAATGCGGCCTCTACTCCAGGCAGGAACTTCCCTTCAGATTAGCATGTTCTATGGTATTCATCTGATTTGGACTCAGCCCCTTGCTGGCCTCAGTAGTTGCTACATTATTTCCTGGGAGGAGATTAGGAATTTGAGGCAGTGAGACAATAATAGTAGCAATAATGATCAGCTGGGATTATGGTGACCCTGATGCGGATGCAGAAACTGGGATGCCAAAAGGTGAATGATCTGGATGCCCCGGGCTATGACCGGCTTTACCTTGAGCCTCACCCTGCTGCCCTAGGCTCCGTCCTTTAGCCCCTCTGTGATGTCCCATCTGCGTAGATGCCAAGAACCAGTTCCAGGGCTCTGCTCAGAACCCCTTATAAATCTTCTCATGGGCATGTGTGAAGAAAGGAAGAAGAGGGAGAGAAGAGAGAAGGAAAGGAGAGACAAGAGGAAACTCATCTTCATGGCAATAGCTACTATTTGTCATGCTTGTCAGGTGCCAGACGTCATCCTGGGTACATCAATGCTATATTATCTCATTTAATCCTCACCAAAATGCAATAAATTAGTGATTTTTAAAAATCTATTTTTCATAGAAGGAAATTGAGTTTCAGAGTGGTTAGGTGACTTTCCCATCATCACGTGCTCTTTTTTTTTTTTTTTTTTTTTTTTTTTGAGACGGAATCTTGCTTACTCACCCAGGCTGGAGTGCAGTGGCGCGATCTCAGCTCACTGCAAGCTCCGCCACCCGGGTTCACGCCATTCTCCTGCCTCAGCCTCCCGAGTAGCTGGGACTACAGGTGCCCACCACCACACCCGGCTAAATTTTTTTGTATTTTTAGTAGAGACGGGGCTTCACCGTGTTAGCCAGGCTGGTCTCGAACTCCTGACCTTGTGATCCACCTGCCTCGGCCTCCCAAAGTGCTGGGATTACAGGCATGAGTCACCATGCCTGGCCTTAATCACATGCTCTGAAGGGGCAGAGCTAGGACTCTAGGTCCCAGGAATACAGTTTTGGAGCTTGAACCTTAACAATGTTTCCTCCTCCCTACCCCCTTCCCCATGCACCTATCACAGAACCCTAAATTGTTGAGCTTTTCCTCTGAAACAGAAACAAATAATACATGTGGTTTGGCTGCCCTCAAATATTCCGGGGCTATTTCCTGAAATAGCTTAATCAGAATTCCCTGTCAACCCCTACAATCTCCCCGCAGTGTGGCCTCCACTTGAAACCTACCAAGCCCCAAGATTGTACAGACTACCTGATCCCCCACACAGGCTTTCATACCTCCAGGTTCAAGTCTGTCTCTGGCTTCAGCTGCCAGGCCACTCCTCTCCTTGCTCTGGTCTCATGGAATGTCTTCTCAGCCCACTGGAGCAAGGTGCTCCTCCTCCAAGAAGCCTTCCCTGATTTTATTGAATTCATTAGCTCCTTCATTCGATCAGCAAATTTTATTAAGCAGCTATCATATGACCTTCGCTGCAAATTAAATAAGAGATCAGTATACCACTGAAACTTACCCAGAAAGTCAAGAAATCCTTTCCTGAAAAATCAATACTTGTTTAGGAATCCAAAGAGTGATTAAGAGGAGTTAATTAGAAAAAATGGAGGAGTAGGGGAATGTTGCTAAGAGGACCAGATCGAGGAAATACCATGAACCAACAAAAAGACCATGGATAAATCATAGCTGCACCATAAACTAGTTTGTAGAAATATGGGCAAGGTATTTAACCAGCCTCTCTGAAACTCAGTCACCTCTGCTATAAAAAAGCAGGCAGTGGTGCTTCTCATGTTGTCAGAATGCAATGCAAATATATTTGCAAAACCCTTGGCACAAATTCTATCACATAGTAGGTTCTCATTAAATGGCATATCCCTTTGGACAGATTTTTCTTTTAGGGAATAGAAATAATTTGGGATGCCAAAAGATGGTAATCTCTGTAGCTATCAAAATCGCAGAGCTGACAGTGGGATATTATTGATCAGGTCAGCTTCAGATCCCTGAGTCACCCACCATGTCCGTTATTTATGTCCATGCTGGAAGCTTCACTGAAGGAGGGGCCTTCACTTGTCTTGTTCACTGCTGTATCCCCAATGCTGAAGCAATACCTCTCACAGACTACTAATTTTAAAATGTTTGTTGAATGAATGTTTGATGACTTTACTCATCTGCTCAATCAATGGTCACAAAGACTGGTTCCCTAACTGTCAGCATCAGCATCCCTGGAAACCTGTTGGAAATGCACATTCTCAGGCCCCACTCTGGGGCTGCTGAATCAGAAACTCTGGGGATTGGCTCCAGGAATCAGTGTTTCAACAAGCCTGCCAGGTGCAGGTGCTGCTTGAGTTTAAGAAGCACTACTCTGAAGGCCGGGCGCGGTGGCTCACACCTGTAATCCTAGCACTTTGGGAGGCCGAGGCGGGTGGATCACGAAGTCAGGAGATTGAGACCATCCTGGCTAACACGGTGAAACCCTGTCTCTACTAAAAATACAAAAAAAATTAGCCGGGCGTGGTGGTGGGCGCCTATAGTCCCAGCTACTCCGGAGGCTGAGGCTGGAGAGTGGCATGAACCCGGGAGGCGGAACTCACAGTGGGCCAAGATTGCGCCACTGCACTCCAGCCTGGGCAACAGAGCGAGACTCTGTCTCAAAAAAAAAAAAAAGAAGCACTACTCTGAAAGGAGCATCTAGATAGCAGCGATTGGCTTACTCAGCTCTAATATGCAGCCCTGGGCAAATGCATTAGAACTGAAAATTGATTGCCCCTCCTAGGACTCAATCCTGCTGCAAAACTCAAGCCAATCTTAAGAATGTCAGAACCAAACTGGCTCAAGAAAGAGCCCCCACCACCGCCATCCACCTGTACCAGCCACCAGATGGGTGATCCTACCTTTCCAAGGATGACCTGCTCTTCTGAGTGCAATCAAGTCCAACTCAAAAGCCCCCTCCTCTGGAAAGCTTTGAGAAACAATTTCCAGGTAGGATGAACTTCTCCCTTCCCGGTGCTACAGGTGCAGGTTTTCGCTATGGCCAGGAGCCCATAGTGGTTTTCAAATACATTTAGAAATATCTCCCCTCTAGATATTTGCCACCCAATATGGTAGCCACTAGCCGCATGTGGCCACGGGGCCCCACCAGAGGGGCTAGTAGAAATTGAGATATGCTGTGAAGTGTAATATCCATACTGAATTTTGCAAGTACAGATTTTTAAAAATGTAAAATATCTAATTATGAATTTTCATTTTTAGGCCAGATGCAGTGGCTCACGTCAGTAATTCCAACACTTTGGGAGGCCGAGGCAGGAGGATTGCTTGAGGCCAGGAGTTTGAGACCAGCCTGCACAAGCAAGACCCTATCTCTACAAAAATAAAAATAAAAATAATTAGCTGGGGCCAGGCGTGGTAGCTCAAGCCTGTAATCCCAACATTTTAAGAGGCGGAGGCAGGTGGATCACCTGAGATCAGGAGTTTGAGGCCAGCCTGGTCAACATGGCAAAACCCAGTCTCTACTAAAAATACAAATTAGCCAGGCATGGTGGCAGGCGCCTGTAATCCCAGCTACTCTGGAGGCTGAGGCAGAAGTATTGTTTGCACCCGGGAGGCAGACGCTGCAGTGAGCTGAGATCACACCACTGCACTCCAGCCTGGGTGACAGAGCGAGACTCAGTCTCAAAAAAAAAAAAAAACTAGCCATGTGTGGTCATGCAGGCCTGTAGTCCTAGCTACTTGGGAGGCTGGGGCAGGAGGATCGCTTGGCCCCAGAGTTTGAGGTTACAGTGAGCTATGATCAGGCCACTGCCCTCCAGCCTGGGTGACAAAGAAAGACCCTGTCTCAAAAAAGTAAAATAATTTCCATTTTGATTAAATGTGAAAATGATATTTTAGATATATTGGGTTAAAGGAATATAGTATTAAATTAATTTCACCTGTTTCTTTTCAGTTCTATTGTGGCAACTAGATAATTGAAAACTACATACAGCCATTTGCTGCTTAATGACAGATACGTCTGAGAAATATGTTGTTAGGTGATTTCATCATTGTGCGGACATCATAGTGTATACTTGCACAAACCTAGATTGTAGAGCCTACTATACACCTAAACTGTATAACATAAACTCTTGCTCCTAGGCTACAAACCTAAACAGCATGTTGCTGTACTGAATACTGTGGGCAATTATAACACAATGCTAAGTATCTGTGTGTCTACACACATCTAAACATAGAAAAGGTATAGTAAAAATGGGGCCCAGCACAGTGGCTCAGGCCTGTAATCCCGGCACTTTGGGAGGCTGAGGCAGGCGGATCATCTGAGGTCAGAAGTTCGAGACCAGCCTGGCCAATATGGTAAAACCCTGTCTCTACTAAAAATACCCAGACGTGGTGGTGGGCGGCTGTAATCCCAGCTACTCGGGAGGCTGGACAGGAGAATCACTTGAATGTGGGAGGCGAAGTTTGCAGTGAGCTGAGATCACGCCACTGCACTCCAGCCTGGGCGACAGAGCAAGACTCCATCTCAAAAGAAAAGAAAAGAAAAGGTGTAGTAAAAATACAATGATAATTTGATGGGACCACCATCGTGCACGCGGTCAGTCATTGACTAAATTGCCATTAGACGGTGCATGATGTCTATGGCCGACATTGTCTTTTTATTGGGCAGTAAGAATTCCACCATGGTGGAGGTCAGAGTTCACTCACCTTTGGACTCCAGTGCCCACCTCTTGCATATAGTAGGTGTTCAAGAAACAAGTGTAGAAAAGTAAAATATTTTGCAAATTTCTCAAGGCCTAGAAAGAATTGTTTATCTTCTCAACTACAGATGCACTGATATCAACATCTGGGACTGATTCAATTGGTTCCAACTCAAAACTCAAAGAAACAAAACAAGTTTGTGGGATCTGAAGACCCGGATTCTGATGCTGGCTGCTAAGTAGCCAGATGATTTTATGTAGCTCAACCTTCTGCTTAACTCCAATAATTGCTGTGTGCCCACTCCACAGGCTCTTGGGAACTGAATAAGAAAATAAATAGGATCCTATTGCAGAGACTATTAGCACTGGAGGAGTGAGAAATTATTCTCCAGCCCCCACTTTCCCATCCTATCCCCTCCAGTTGCCTGGCCTAGATTTTCTGGAAAGCTGCAGAATGTGCAGACATTGTGTTCCCTGGATTTATAGCTCATTTTATAATGTTTTTGGGTGAGGTCAGAAGCTTTACACGCACTATTGTTCTTTTTGTCTTAACCTAAATATGATTTCTCTCAAAGAAAAGAATTCAGGAAAGAGGGAATGGGAGGAGGCTACTGAGAGGAAGAAAGTTCCTGTCCTCTTTCTCTTATTTACCCAGACTTTGGATCTCAGTCCATATCTAGGGAATTGGAGGGAAAATTATCATCTTAGGCAGGGCACGGTGGCTTATGCCTCTAATCCCTGCACTTTGGGAGGCCAAGGCGGGCGGATCACCTGAGGTCAGGAGTTCAAGACCAGCCTGGCCAATGTGGTGAAACCCCATCTCCAGCCGGGTGCGGTGGCTCCACGCCTGTAATCCCAGCACTTTGAGAGGCCGAGGCAGGCAGATCACGAGGTCAAGAGATCAAGATCAGCCTGGCCAACATGGTGAAACCTTGTGTCTACTAAAAATACGAATATTAGCTGGGTGTGGTGGTACGCACCTGTAATCCCAGCTACTTGAGAGGCTGAGGCAGGAGAATCTCTTGAACCCCAGAGGTGGAGGTTGCAGTGAGCCGAGATCACATCATTGCACTCCAGCCTGGGTGACAGAGCGAGACCCTGTCTCAAAAAAAAAAAAAAAAAAAGTTGTCATCTTAAGAGTTTAAGGTTTATCTTATACCAGCCTTGCAAATATCAAAAAAATGCAATAGCCCACCAGATGTCTAATTCAGCAATTGTCACTGATGCAATTACAGTCAATCCTCATTTAAAGATTCCATATTTATGAATTTGCCTCCTTACTAAAATGTATTTGTAACCCCAAAATCAAAACTTATTGCACTTTCATGGCCATTCACAGACATGGGAGAAGGAATGAAACATCTGAGTCACCCACATACCTTCCCAGCTGACGTTAGCAAGGTGGTACTCTGTCTTCTTGTTTCAGTTCCCCAACTATATATGTGTCCTTTTTGCAACCCATTTAGTGCCACACACATTTTTCATATGTTTGTGCTTTTTGTTTTGTTTTGTCTTGTCTTTTTGTTTGTTTTGTTTTGAGATGGAGTCTCGCTCTGTCCCCCAGGCTGGAGTGCAGTGGCACGATCTCAGCTCACTGCAACCTCTGCCTCCTGGGGTCAAGCGATTCTCCTGCGTCAGACTCCCATGTACCTGGGATTACAGGTACAAACGACCACGCCTGGCTAATTTTTGTGTTTTTAGTAGAGATGGGTTTCACCATGTTGGCCAGGCTGGTCTCGAACTCCTGACCTCAGGTGATCTGCCCACCTTAGCCTCCCAAAGTGCTGGGATTACAGACATGAGCCACTGCGCCCAGCTGTTTCTGCTTTTTGTTGGTAATTTGGCTGTTTAACGTGGTCTCCAGGAACAGTGCTGAAGTGCTGTCTGGTGTTCCCAAGCCTAAGAAGGCTGTGATGTGCGTTATAAATAAGCTTTATTTAGGCATTCGTTATATTGCTGTAGGCTGTGAATTCAATGTTAATGAATCAACAAGATATATTAAATAAGGTGCCTTTATTTTATTTTTTTTGTTTGTTTTTTGAGACAGAGTCTCGCTCTGTCACCCAGGCTAGGGTGCAGTGGTGCGATCTCAGCTCACTGCAACATCCATCTCCTGGAGTTTAAGTTATTCTCCTGCCTCAGCCTCCCGAGTAGCTGGGATTACAGGCATGTGCCACCACACCTGGCTAATTTTTGTATTTTTAGTAGTGACAGGGTTTCACCATGTTGACCAGGCTGGTCTTCAACTCCTGACCTCAGGGGATCTGCCCACCTCAGCCTCCCAAAGTGCTGGGATTACAAGCCTGAGCCACCACGCCCAGCCTAAATAAGGTGTCTTTAAACAGAAGCACACATACGACACAGTTACATATTGATTGGTGGGTGAAAACATTGGGACCAGAGATTCAAAGGGACCTTACCCAGTATATCCCCTGGGAGCTACCGTTTAGTATTCAGTAATTCAGCGTTCATTGCAACTTTACAGAAAACAGCTGCCACAAATAATGAAAATCGGCCGTAAATTTTTTAAGTAAATGAGTTCAGAGTTATGCCCTTTGAATGTGTTACTCTTTCCACGAATCTAGCTCTCTGCGCTTGCTCCTCTCCTGTCTTTCGAATGGACAGTCACTACCTGGTGACATGAAGCAGATATGCTCAGGAAAGACAAGGATGGGGAAGCTAATCATTTCTCAGTGCTCTTTGGTAGGGAAGCATCTCGGTCTGCTTTTTGTTTTTTGCTTTATTTTATTTTTTTTTGACACGGGGTTGGACTCTGTCACCCAGGCTGGAGTGCAGTGGTACAATCACGGCTCATTGCAGCCTCCACCTCTCAGGATCAAGAGATCCTCTGACCTCAGTCTCCTGAGTAGCTGGGACTACAGGTGTGTGCCACCATGCCTGGGTAATTTTTATATTATTTGTAGAGATGGGGTTTCACCACGTTGCCCAGGTTGTCCCGAACTCCTGGGCTTAAGCAATCAGGCCCACCTTGGGCTTCTAAAGTGCTGGGATTACAGGCTTGAGCCATGGCGCCCAGCCCCTGGTCTGTTTTATATTGTTCAGGGGAGGGATTATGTTGGTCAGGCACAGACATCAGCATGTAGACTAAGGAATAGAACTCAATCCTCTAATTGGGCAGAGAGGTGCCAATGTACTGTTATTAGAAGAAAGAAAGAAAATGCCTTACCCTTTACGAGCTTACTGGCTCATGGAATGCAGAACAGAAGATAGCCAGACAATAATAAATAAAACAGGGACCTTTGATTAGCTGCCTGGCATGAAAGTACACTTGCCTCAGAGAGGGAAACCTATGACCCTATTTCCTGAGTCATTCATCTGGCGCCTCTCCTGCCCCGTGGAAAGGTCAGAGGTTGTGGAGTCAGACAGATATACTAATAGATTAAAAGCCTGTCTGCCCCACTCACTGGCTGTGTAAACCTCAGCCTCAGTTTTCTTATCTGTAAATTGAGGGCTAATAGTACCTATTTCAAGGAGATATCGAAAGGATTGAGAGAAATTAAGTGCCTATTACAATACGTGGTCCATACTGGGTTATTCAGTAAGGTTCTTCAGTGTTGCCATCTTTTTTCACTATTGCACGTTGATTTGTGAATATGATCTCTCAGTAACCCTTTCTCCTGGAGAAGAAAGAATCATGTGTCAAACTTTCAGTCCTTTTGCAAAGTTTAATTGTGTGCCTACTACTTAGCGAGCCCCGTGTGATATGGGAGAAAGAGAAATGTAAAGCTCGTATGACCTCGTTCTGAAGGAACTCTCAGAAAAAACAATTTTGGAATCAATAAGAATTATCTAGAATAACAAGGACCTGGTTAACAGACTGACTTTACTCCACATCTAAGAAATTCCAGACTTGGCCAGGCATGGTGGCTCACGCCTGTAATCCCAGCACTTTGGGAGGCCGAGGTGGGTGGATCACCTGAGGTCAGGAGTTCGAGACTAGCCTGGGCAACATGGTGAAATCCCCGTCTCTACCAAAAATACAAAGATTAGCCAGGCGTGGTGGCACACGCCTGTAATTCCAGCTACTTGGAAGGCTGAGTGAGGCAGGAGAATCACTTGAACCTGGAAGACGGAGGTTGCAGTGAGCTGAAATCGCATCACTGAACTCCAGCCTGGGTGACCGAGCAAGACTCTGTCTCAAAAAAAAAAAAAAAGAAATTCCAGACTTGATAGTAATGCCTATTTGATATCAAGCAAAATCAGGTCTGTTTTCCTAGTAGCTGAACTTGTTCTCCTCTTCTTTCTTATAAAGAAAAGTCTAGATATCGTAATGCTGACTACAATTGCATTATATAGAACTTAATTTGTTTTAGGATACATGTATTTAAAAAAAAGCAAAAGAATTCTACAAGACAAAAAGAATATGTACAACTTCTTCAAAAATAGTCTGGTCTGATATTCTCATAATAAATTAATTTTGAAAATGTGTTAGAGAAATGCAAACAGGGCAATGAATAAGGGTTAACTTTCTACATGACATATTTCTTTAATGCTTGCAATTTTATTCAATGAAAGCATTAACTTTTTATCCGAACAAAATAAAGGTTATTTTGGTTTTTCTTAAGCCATGAGAAGTTGAAAGAAAAATAAAATCATTCCTATTCCCAACACCTACTATTAATATTTTGGTGTGTTTCCTTGCAAACTTTTTCTCTGCCTACTTAGTAGCCTGTATTTACACAGCTGGGACCATAGCATAAAATATTACATCCTGCTTACTTCAATCATAATGTAAGCATTTTTCATTTATAAACTTTTCATAAACATTTTTAATGGCTGCATAATATTCCATTGAGCAGTATATAATCATTTACATAATGCTACTCCTATATTCAAACACTTAGGTTATTTCAAGCTTTTCTCTATTATATATAAAGTTTTAATCTCGGTGCATGAATCCAAGTCTGCACTTTGGATTATTTCCTTATGACAGATTCCCAGAAGTGGAATGACGAGCTCTAAGGCAATGAACATATTTCAGGCCTGTGATACAGATTGCCAAATCGCTTTCCCAAAAGAGTTGTACCATTTCACACTCCCACTGACGATGTTGCTTATTCCATTTTTAATGGCATCATATGACTGAAATGGCCAATAGCAAGGTTTACATAAACTATGATACATCTAGCCAGTGAATTATACAGCCCATGAACTTTCTAATGGGGTCTGGGTAACAGCATGGAAAAACAGTTATGCTGCAATGTTAAGCAGAAAAAGCAGAACACAGAATTGAATGTTATTGCCAGTGCCTCAGAATAATAATAATAATAATAAATCTGCCTAAGGATAAGGACCAGGAAAGCAAAACAAAACCAAAAAAATAAAATAAAATAAAATATTGACATGTATAGTAAGTGTGGCAAGGTGATGACTGCGAGATTGATAACTGTCTCTCTGGTTGTAATTATTTTCACTCTCTGTGTTAATTTCACCTTGTGTTGCTATAGCACTGTTCAATATTTCAAAAACTTCACATACCAGCAAAGTATTCGGGTTACAACACTGCACAGTACTGAATTTCTCAAAAGCTTCTCCTGCAGGATTCTAGCATTTCCAAAACTGGCCCAAGTGTTTTCGCGGCTAAAGGATCATGGTGGTCTTTTCTGAATTCCCAGAAATAATTAAGTCAATGAATGGAATTTTCTGAAATGTAAATTCTCCCATGACTTCTTTTTCCTCAAACCTCTGGCAACTGGCACCACTCTTCTGCTAGAGATGACAAGAATGAAGACTTCACAAATAGTAACAGAAAACCACTGAAACAGCTGGTCACATTCTATGGATCCTGGCCTTGTGGTTGTACTATTTTACCACAGCATAGAAGAGAGTCGTATTTTCTGCTAGCAAAACTGTTCCAAGTCCTGTGATGGAGTGAATATCAATAGGTTGTGACGATCCCCCAGAAGCATTGTGATGTCAGTTGCCGACATTCACCAGCTGTACAGACGTGCGCACAGCTGAGTTCTGACCCCTCCCATCCCCTGCCCTGTTCTGGGAGGGAAAAATACAGGGGATGACATAACCCAGGGCTGATGGGGGCTGCTTCCAAAAGTAACGGGAGAAGCAACAGTGTTCTTAAGAAGCCACCACCCCCAGTGCCTTGTTTGATATTTTTCCTGTGTCTAGTCTTTTCCCTCCTCAGCCGATCTTCCACACTGACTTTAAGTATAGCTACCTAAAATCTTTCTACGTCAAGTATAATCCAGGGACCGGTAGCCTCTGCATACCCCTGGGAACTTGTTAAAAATGCAGAATGCCCCATCCCAGACATATGAAATCAGAATCTGCATTTTAACAAGATCCCCAGGTAATCTACTTGCACACTGTGTTTAAGAAGCACTGGGGGCCGGGCGCGGTGGCTCACACCTGTAACCCCAGCACTTTGGGAGGCCAAGGCGAGAGAATTGCTTGAGCCCAAGAGTTTGAGACCAGCCTGGACAACATAGCGAGACCCTGTTTCACCTATTTATCATTCCTTGAATACATTAAGGCTTTCTCAAGCCCAACAAAGCGCAACTTTGTATGTGCAGTTCCCGCTGCAAGAATGCCTTTCCACAAATGGGGAAATCACGCTCAACCTTCAAAACCCAACCCAGGCCAGGCGCAATGGCTCACACCTGTAATCCTAGCACTTTGGGAGGCTGAGGTGGGCAGATCGCTTGAACTCAGGAGTTCAAGACCAGCCTGGGCACCATGGCAAAACCCCATCTCTACAAAAATACAAAAAAAATTAGCTGGGCATGGTGGCACGGGCCTGTAGTCCCAGCTACTTGTGGGGGCTGAGGCTGGAGGATCGCTTGAGCCCAGGAAGTCGAGGCTGCAGTGAGCCAAGATCCAGCCACTGCACTCCAGCCTGAGTAACAAAGTGAGACCTAGTTTCAAAAACAAAAAAAACCTGATCCAAGTACTCCTCCAAGAAACCTGCTTGGTCTCCTCCCAACACACTCCCTACTTCTCCTTCCTGTGAGCTCCACAGCCCTAGTTTTGTTTGTTTGTTTGTTTTGTTTTGTTTGAGATGCAGTCTCACTCTTGTCCCCCAGGCTGGAGTGCAATGGTGCCATCTCGGCTCACTGCAACCTCCGCCTCCCGGGTTCAAGCAATTCTCCTGCCTCAGCCTCCTGAGTAGCTGGGATTACAGGCGCCCGCCACCACACCTGGCTAATTTTTGTATTTTTAGTGGAGACGGGGTTTCACCATGTTGGCCAGGCTGGTCTTGAACTCCTGACCTCAGGTGATCCACCCATCTCGGCCTCCCAAAGTGCTGGGATTACAGGCGTGAGCCACTGCGCCGGTCAGCCATTGTATTTTAAGTAGTCTATGTGTGTATGTGTGTGTATTCACTACTAAGTGACAATTTCCTTGTTGGTGGCTCAGTAGACACTTAAGCTATGTTTGCAAAATGGGAATGACTGATTGAATAAATGAGTGCTGCTTCTGGCTCTGCAACATGATAACTGATGTGATTTTCCTCTTTGAAAAATGCCCTAGATGTTGTGAAAATCAAATAAGTTCTGTGCATGGAAAAGTGATTCGTAAACTGCAAAGATCTGCAGAATTTACCTAAATCTCAGTGCTCTGCAAGGGCCATCCCTGGATCTGCCTGGGGTTGGCCTTGTGATAACGACCCAAGAGGATATTGATATATACAGATTCCGAGGCCCTACCTGCAGAGATTCAGATTCAAGAGGAATTCTGCATTTTCACAAGCTTTTCAGGTGGTTCAGTATGAAGCCAAATCTGGGAACAGCTGGCTTGTGAGTTCACCTCTCACTTCTTGACCCAGGGCCTGGACTTGAGCGAGGCAGGAGAAGAACCAGAGTGAATATTTAAGGAGGACCTCATTCTCAAGGGCATGCAAGTGCGGGATGGTCCCCCTGAGAGAGCGAGCCTTCTTAAAAACTGTGCACCCTAGGAGTCCTTTGGCAGTGACCACCGGCAAAGCACGTAGGATCATCCAGTGTGACCCCTGTCTGAGCCTGCTGCCTGGGGATCTCCAGGGCCTCAGCCTCAGGCAGGCCCAGGTGAGACGAGGACAAGATGCCCACACGACCTTGAAATTCCAGGCCCGACCACTGCAGCCCCATTAACGGCCTGTTTTCCCTTAAGTGGAGAAGAAGCAGACTAAGTCTAACCTCAGTGCCTCATGGAGTCTGACCACCACAGGGCACCAGGATCCTTTGAAGAGCCCAGGTCTTGGCACTCAAGCAAGCAGATTTTTCTCAGTTGTTCAGACCCCCCGTGCCAGCTCTGAGCATTCTAGACTCCTGGTGGTCAGCATCCTCTCAGGCTCATGGGGACTGTCCCTAGGTTGTCATGTGTGGAGGTTAAGTGACTTCCTACCCCTCTGACTTCCCAGAAGGCACAAAGCTCACTCTCCTCCTTCCCTCTTTTCCTTTTTCATGAGCTGGCCTGGCTGTGTCAGGCAGGGTCAGGCTCAGCAGAAGGCACATCACATATATCTTTTTTATTAAAGACAGGGTCTCACTTGTTGCCCAGGCAGGAGCACAGTGGCACGATCTTAACTCACTGCAGCCTCGAACTTCTGGGCTCAAACAACCCCCCACCTCAGCCCCCCAAGTAGCTGGAACTATAGGCCCATACCACTATGCCCAGCTAATTTTTTTGTATTTTGTAGAGATGGGGTTTTGCCATGTTGCCTCCTGAGTAGCTGGGACTACGAGTACACCACTACACTCAGCTAATTTTTAAAAAACTATTTTTGTAAACAATGGGGTCTTGCTATATTGTCCAGGCTGGTCTCAAACTTCTCACCTCAAGTGATCCTCCTGCCTCGGCCTCCCAAAGTGTTGGGATTACAGGTGTGATCCACAGCACCCGCCATTTTATTTTTTTTTTTAGAGATAGTCTTGTTGGCATTCAGTGATATAATCATAGCTCACTGCAGGCTCAGACTCCTGGGCTCAAGCAATCCTCCTGCCTCAGCCTCCTGAGTAGCTAGAACTACAGGTGTGCTCCACCAGAGGGCCAATTTTTTAATTTTGTTGTAAAAATGGGGTCTCATGGCTGGGTGCAGTGGCTCACGCCTGTAATCCAAGCACTTTGGGAGGCCGAGGCAGGCGGATTACCTAAGGTCAGGAATTTGAGACCAGCCTGGCCAACATGGTGAAACCCTGTCTCTACTAATAATAAAAAAGTAGACGGATGTGGCAGTGCGTGTCTGTAATCCCAGCTACTCAGGAGGCTGACGCAGGAGAATCTCTGGAAGCTGGGAGACAGAGGTTGCAGTGAGCCGAGATCATGCCACTACACTCCAGCCTGAGTGACAGAGCAAGATTCTATCTAAAAAAAAAAAAAAAAAAAAAATGGGTCTCACTGTGATGTCCAGGCAGGTCTTGGGCTCCTAGACTCAAGCAATTCTTCCCCCTTGGCCTCTCAAAATGTTGGGTGTGAGCCACCATGCCCAGCCATATTTCTTTCCTGTCACCATTACTACATCTCACAAGGCGGGTACTATTATCTCTATTTCACAGATGATACTACGGTTCAAAGAGGTGAAGGAATTTGTTCAAAATCACAGGACGAGCCAAAGGCAGACGGGATTTAAGCCCCAAAGCTCTTCCTCTCCTTCCTCTGCTTCTCTAAATTTGTTTTATTATATTCATGTGTATATGTATATATATGTATATATTTATGTAATTTCCCCTGCTTTGCATTTCTAAACTTCTTCCTGATTTTCCTGGAGCATCTGTGGTTAACAGTAATCAGAAACTTGGGTTCTAGCTGTTTCCCCTGAGGGTGTTTCTCCAATCTGAGACTGGATTCTTAAGGGATTTTAGAGTTTGTGTGTCTGTGTTTTTCGGTGTACCTCTTTCAAAATAATGTGTTTAGACAACATATTAGCATCTTTTAAAGGCTGGGAGTAAGGGACGAGGGCAGAAAACACTGCCAATCTAAAATTCCATACCCAGTGAAAACAGTTTTTGGCCAGGCCCAGTGGCTCACGACTGTAATCCCAGCACTTTGGGAGGCTGAGGCAGGAAGATTGCTTGAGCCCAGGAGTTTGAGACCAGCCTGGGCAACATGGCAAAACTCTGTCTCTACTGAAAATATTTTTTAAATTAGCCAGGCGTGGTGGCACGCGTCTGTGGTCCCAGCTACTCTGAAAGGCTGAGGTGGGAGGATTGCTGGAGCCCAGGAGGCTGAGGTTGCAGTGGGCTGAGGTTGCAATGAGCTGAGATCATACCAACCACTGCACTTCAGCCTGGGACAGAGTTAGACCCTGTCTCAAAAAAAAAAAAAAAGAAAAGAAGAAAGAAAAAAAAAAGGAAACAGGCTTTTAAAATGAAGGTAAAATAAGATTCTTCGGGCAGAAGAAAAATAATTCCATATGAAATAATGGAAATGCAAGGAAAAGGGCAAACATAAGTGAATATTGACTCTACAAAAGCAACAATGATAATAGTATGTGTAATTTAAAATATATGAAAAATGAGGCTGCGGCCGGGTGCGTTGGCTCACGCCTGTAATCCCAGCATTTTGGGAGGCTGAGATGGGCGAATCACGAGGCCAGGAGTTCGAGACCAGCCTGGCCAACCTGGTGAAACCCTGTCTCTACTAAAAATACAAAAAATAGCTGGGCATGGTGGCGGGCGTCTGTAATCCCAGCTACTCATAAGGCTGAGGCAGGAGAATTGTTTAAACCTGGGAGGCAGAGGTTGCAGTGAGCTGAGATCACGCCATCGCACTCTAGCCTGGGCAACAGAGCGAGTCTGCACCTGAAAAAAAAAAAAAAAAAAAAAAAAGGAAGCTGGGCGCAGTGGCTCACACCTGTAATCCCAGCACTTTGGGATGCTGAGGTGGGCGGATCACCTGAGGTCAGGAGTTCAACACTAGCTTGGCCAACATGATGAAACCCCATCTCTACTAAAAATAAAAAAATTAACTGGGCTTGATGGCGGGCACCTGTAGTCCCAGCTACTCTGGAGGCTGAGGCAAGAGAATCGCTTGAACCCGGGAGGCGGAGGTTATGGTGAGCTGAGATCACGCCACTACACTCCATCCTGGGCGACGGAGTGAGACCCTGTCTCAAAAAAAAAAAAAAAAAAAAAAGATGACAAAGAAAAGGTTGTGTAAAAATCCAACCATCAAAATACTCAAAACCAAATTTGTGATATTATAGCATAGGCGTCTTTGTTATTGCATTAAATAACAAGATCTGATGGTAAGTCTAATTTCTAAGTCATAGAAATGAGCATAAATGATACTTGGGAAATCTACTATTACTTTCATTTGATATTAAATACAAATTTGCATATACAACACACATAACATATGCACACACGGTTGCCCCACATTAGCAGAGACAAAATGAAATGGAATCTACTGCCTTTGAGAAATAGGACAAGATGCAATGGCTCACACCTATAATCCCGGCACATTGGGAGGCCAAAGCAGGTGGATCACTTGAGCCCAGGGGTTCAAGACTATTCTGGACAACATAATGAGACTCCAGTCTAAAAGAAACAAACAAACAAACAAACAAAACTCAAAAATAAATAAATAATTAAGAAAATAAATGTATCAGGTGTGGTGGCTCATGCCTGTGACGCCAGCACTTTGTGAGACTGAGGCAGGCTTGCTTGAGCCCAGAAGTTTGAGACCAGCCTGGGCCACATAGGAAGACCCTGTCTATAAAAAAAAAAAGTTTTTTAGGTAGCCAGGTGTGATGATGCATGCCTGTGGTCCCAGCTCCTTGGGAGGCTGAAGTGGCTGGATAGCTTGAGCCTAGGAGGTTGAGACTGCAGTGAGCTCTGTTTGCACCACTTCACTCCAGCCTGGGCAACAGAGTGAGACCCTGTCTCAAAAGAAAAAAAAAAAGAAGAAGAAGAAAAGAAAATTAATGGCAATGCAAAATGGAGGCTGGGCGCAATTGCTCATGCCTGTAATGCCAGCACTTTGGGAGGTTGAACTAGGCAGATCACTTGAGGTCAGGAGTTGGAGAACAGCTTGGCCAACATGGTGAAACCTCATCTCTGCTAAAAATACAAAAGTTAGCTGGGCATGGTGGCACATGCCAGTAGTACCACCTACTCAGGAGGCTGAGGCAGGAGAATCGCTTGAACCCAGGTTGCAGCGAGCTGAGTTCATGCCACTGCACTCCAGCCTGGGCAACAGACCAAGACTCATCTCAAAAAAAAAAAAAGTGGGATGCCTCCAGTACAGCAAGGACTCCATTTCCTTAAGGCTATTCCATTTAAAGTGTCTGCATAAAATCCTCATGGGGTCTCCAGGATTGCCCAGAAAGAGGGTAATATGACTCTTTTCTTGAAAAAATAGGTAACATTTAGTCCTCTATAATACAAGAAAAGAAAATTTTAAAAAATTTTTTTGGTTTTGGAGACAGAATTTCACTGTTACCCAGGCAGGAGTGCAGTGACACAATCACAGCTCATTGCAGCCTCCATCTCCCAGGCTCAAATGATCCTCCTGCCCCATTTTTAAATTTTTTTTGTAGGAATGGGGTATCACTATGTTGCTCAGGTGGCCTTGAACTCCTGGGCTCAAGAGATCCTCCTGCCTTGGCCTTTCCAAGTGCTGGGAATTACAGGCGTGAGCCACCATGCCTAGCCCCAAAAAAATAATTTTTAAAAAGTAGGAAGCAAAGGTTCTCATATGAGGTCACAGCTACTGAAAGAAGTAACCAATGAATCCACAGACCTCTCTCTTGCCTGTCCAATACCCCACGCAAGACAACTAGTCAGGCAGAGACTTATTAGCAGCTTATCAGCACGGAACTGGAAAGGACTGCCCATTATCTGGGTAATAGAAGAGATAAGTGTGTTTGGATGGGGAGGAGAATGTGTGTTTAAAGTACTGTTGTGTTGTCAATTCTGATTCTCCCAAACTATCAGAGTTGCCTAAGTGACCCTGTATCAGGTGCATCACCGAGAAATGCTAATTTCCAAAACAAGCCAAGTGGGAATGAATCACAAGCAATCCAACACATGGTAACGGAAGACAGGAATCCCTGAACTTAGCCCACTGGTTGTCTCGGGCGCTGGCGGTCAGAGATGTGACAATGAGGGCAGATGGTGAGGCTCCTTAGACAGCAGAGAAAGGGGTTTGGGATTTTTATGACTTGCAGAAAATGGGGAACCGCCAAAAGTTTTGTAGGAGAGGAGAAACCCACCGGGCACTGTGCTTCAAGGTCACAGAGTTCATCTCGGAGCAACAAACACTTTCTAGGGTTTGCTTCACATGGATCTTGTGCTAGGCACAGGCTTGAGGTGGCGAAAGAAAGATCGAGTTCCTGTTCCCAGAGAACAAACAATCCCCACAGTATGACAAATACAGTGATGGGGCCAGGCGGGGTGGCTCATGCCCATAACCCTAGCACTTTGGGAGGCAGAGGCAGGCAGATCACCTGAGGTCAGGAGTTCGAGACCAGCCTGGCCAACATGGTGAAACCCTGTCTCTACTAAAAATACAAAAATTAGCTGGGCATGGTGGCACGTGCCTGTAGTCCCAGCTATTTGGGAGGCTGAGGCAGGAGAATTGCTTGAATTCAGGAGTTGGAGGTTGCAGTGAGCCGAGATCAGGCCTCTGCACTCTAGCCTGGGTGACAGAGTGAGACTCTGTCTCAAAAAAAAAAAAAAAAAAAACCCAGATGGAAAGGAGCTCCAGGAGGGTTTTTTGGAGGAGGCAGACCTGACTGAAAGGCTGACAGGTAGGAGTGAGCCAGATAAAGAGGGGGCTGTGAAGGCACTTATAGCAATGGGAACATCTTTGGAGGGGAGGGAGAACAAATGTGAGTAGGATGGGGTGCTGGACACCTCTCATCTGACCCCCAGATCCACTCTGTACATTTCAGCACTTTGCTCTGTGCCCCAGGCAGTTGAACTTCATGGACTACATTCATGATAACCTTGACCTTGGTTTCTGGTCAGGTTCTGCCTGTGGAAGACACTGGCAGGAGATGGGAGGTGAGGAGAAAGGCTGGTATGTATATCCCCTGCTCTCCCTCTCTCCTTCCTCTTGACCCTTCAAGCCAGGGGGAGTGGATGAGGTGCCCTCTGTTATCAGTCTCAAAGTACTGCTTTTTGGTTTTCCCAAACCCTACTAACCCTCCATAAAAGTTGCTTTATTAAATACCCCCAAAGGTATCCTCTGTACCCTGCTGGGACCATGACTGATACAGCAGCATGGAGGAGGTTTTTCATTATCCAAATACAATATGAGGCGCGGTGGCTCACACCTGTAATCCCAGCACTTTGGGAGGCCAAGGCAGGCAGATCACTTGAGGTCAGGAGTTCAAGACCAGCCTGGTGAACATAGTGAAACCCCGTCTCTGCTAAAGATACAAAAACATTAGCCAGGTGTGGTGGCGGCCCCTGTAATCCCAGCTACTAGGGAGGCTGAGGCATAAGAATTGCTTGAACCTGGGAGACGGAGGTTGCAGTGAACCGAGATTGCGCCACTGCACTCCAGCCTGGGCAACAGAGCGACTCAGTCTAAAAACAAAACAAAACAAGAACAAAACAAATACAACATGACAGTCTCCTAAACTAGGAGAGGAGTGGGAAGATTACCTTGTGAATGTACAGCACTCTACAGCAACAAAGGCTTTTCTCAGCATGGACTTATCCACAGCTCCCAACTACCCCAGGTCAGAGGCCACCAATTCCATCTCACAGATGTGCAGCAGCAGAGGCCTGGAGAGTATGTGGAGACTTGGCCAAGAGACATGACCTGTCAGTGAGAGACCCAGAGCCCACAGCCTGATTTTTTCAGTTGCTAATCCATTCCCTTTCTACCAGTGCAGCTCTAAGTGGGCCTGGAATGGTGGAAGAAATTCAAAGAGGCCTTCCAGGTGCGTGCACACATACATGTACATGTCTTCCACAGGAATCAGTGAGTCATTCAACAAACATTTATTGAGCTCTGACTGGATTTACAGACCTGTCTTAGAAACTGAGGGATGAAAGAGATTAGATATGGGGAAAAGGAGAATGAGTCAGAAGGAGGGGTGGAAGCACAGGGTGGTAGAAGAAAACACTGGCCCCGCAGTCCGGCAGTCCTGGTTCCCAGGCCCAGTCTATGAAATGTGTCTCTGAGATCTTCCATCGACTGAACCTGGAGAGATCAGCCATTTCTGGTTTTGAACAAAGAAGTCAAGTCAATTTCAGATGCAGCTGCAAGCTGAAATTCCTCCAACAGCTCTAGACTTCTGGGCATGACACACAACACCCTTTATCAACTGGCCTTCTCTCATCTCTCCAGCCTTGATTGCCGGAGGCTCTCTGCCTCCCATCCTTCTACCCTGACATTAGAAGCTACCCACAGCTTCCCATAAGCCACACTTGCTCTCACCTCCAAGACTTTGCACTAGCTATTCCTTGTGCCTGGAAGGCTTTTTCTCACACTTAGCTCTACAGTTGACCCTTGAACAACACAGGAGTTACAAGTGCCAACCTCTCCCACAACCCCACATAGTCAAAAATCCACAAAAATTCTGACTCCCTCAAAACTTAATTACTAATAGCCTACTGTTGGCCAGAAGCCTTTCTGATAACATAGTTGATTAACACATATTTTGTAGGTTATGTGCATTATATACTGTATTCTTACAATAAAGTTAGAAAAACAATTATCTATCTATCCACCCACCCACTGGGTGGCATGAGCCACTGGGGATGGTGGCTCATGCCTACAATCCCAGCAATTTTGGAGGCCAAGGTGGGCAGATCCCTTGAGTCCAGGAGTTCAAAACCAGCTTGGGTAACACAGCGAGACCCTGTCACTACAAAAATTACAAAATTAGTCAAGCACGGTGCCATATGTTTCTAATCCCAGCTACTCAGGAGGCTGAGGTAGGATGATCGAATCACTTGAGCCCAGGAGATGGAGACTGCAGTGAGCCATGATCACACCACAGCACTCCAGCCTGGGTGACAGAGCAAAACCCTGTTTGGAAAAAAAATAAATAAATAAGAGAAAAAATATACCTACTATTCATTAAGTGAAAATGTATCATCATAAAGGTCTTCATCCTTGTGATTTTCACATTGAATAGGCTGAGGAGGAGGAGGAAGCAGGGGCTTGGTCTTGCTGTCTCAGAGGTGGCAGAGGCAGAAGAAAATCCTCCTATAAGTAGACCTGCACAGTTCAGTGCTGTGTTATTCAAGAATCAACTGTAATTTCTTCACCTGTAAAACGCTTACTCAAACTTCAAGATTCAATTCAGGCTAATTACTGTATCCTCAGTAATACCCGCACAGAGAAAGCCCCCAAATCTTGGCAAATAATGATTCAACTGATTAAGTAATCATAAAATAGCTACCATGTAGTGAGTCCATGTCCATGGGATAACAATAAAAATATCAAACAAGCTCTTTGGGGACTAGGAACTTGAATGTAGCTGAAGAGTGAGTGAGCAGGGAGATGATTAGATGGATGAGTAAACAGATAGATAAAAACGAATGGATGGCCTAGCGCAGTGGCTCACACCTATAATCCCAGCACTTTGGGAGGCCGAGGCAGGTGGATCACTTGAGGTCAGGAGTTTGAGACCACCCTGGCCAACATGGTGAAACCCCATCTCTACTAAAAAGACAAAAATTAGCTGGGTGCGGTGGCATGTGCCTATAATCCCAGCTACTCAGGAGGCTGAAGCACAAGAATCATTTGAACCAGGGAGGCGGAGGTTGCAGTGAGCCAAGATTGTGCCACTGCACTCCAGCCTGGGTGACAGAGTGAGACTCTGTGTCACAAAAAAAAAAAAAAAAAAAATGGATGGATGGAGAAATAGATGGATTGAAAATGAGTGTGTGACAGTTGGCAGATGAATGGGGAATTAAATGGATGGATGACTTCATGAACAAATGGTTGAATGGATGGGATTACTTGCTTGCATTGATCAAAACAGACTTGACCTAATCTCAAAGTGGTAAGAAAGGAGAGGAATCTAGCTGGTGAGATTGGAACTGTGGAGCTTAAAAAAACGTTGAGAATCTTACTAGCAAACATAAGGTCTGCTTGTGAACAAGTTACTATCATCACAAAGCTCTGAATAAGTTCCAATCTGCTATTCCAGGCGAAGTCCGGAGGATGATGCCAGCCATGAGAGTCTGATCAACTGGACTGACTGATCAACAGAACTTAACTTGCTGGAAGTCTATTGGAGTTAGGTCAGATATAGAACCTTAAGGCTTTGGGATCTGACAAAAACATCTGTATTTGTGATTCTTATGACAAGACGGCAATGCACAAATCGATGTGAGAAGACAGGAGGGGTGCATGAACTGCTAACTCCTCTTACTGTCAGAACTTCAAAGTGCAGGTTTTGCACAAACCAGCCTGCCTCCCCAGGACCTCTCAGCACACTTTCATTATGATGGACTTTCTTGAATCTCAAAGTATTCTGACAGCTGTGTCCCAGACCGCATTGCTCCTTGGAAACTTGAACTTCACATTAACCCCATCTCCTCTGTTACCCCACAATCTCCCTTTACCTCCCCTCATAGAGGGTGCTCATGGCTTGCAAATCCGTAGCTTCCAGAGGGCTGGGGAGAGCACTCTGATGACCAGACCAATGCTGCTTCACCCAGGAAAAGCCCTATTGTAAGTTATGACTAGGGTAGGGATGGATTTCCTTTGGAGCCAAAGATGAAGCATTAGCAAGAGTCTGCTTTCAATGAGAGTCTGCAGTGTAAGGGAATTTTTTTCTTTTTCTTTTTTTTAATTACAGAACTTACTTTTCTTTTAAAAAAGAATTCAGAGCTAGCACAGGAAAACAGTGAGGTTTCAAAAGTACTTCAGCCTTGACAAAGCCCTTCACATAGTTTTGATTTTTGTTTGTTTTTTGATATGCAGTTTTACTCTGCCTCCCAGGCTGAAGTGCAGTGGCGCAATCTCAGCTCACTGCAACCTCTGCCTCCCGGGTTCAAGGGATTCTTGTGCCTCAACCTCCCGAGTATCTGGGATTACAGCGCGTGCCACCACACTTGGCTAAATTTTGTATTTTTAGTAGAAACGGGGTTTCGCCATGTTGGCCAGACTGGTCTCGAACTCCTGACCTCAAGTGATCCACCCGCCTTGGTCTCCCAAAATGCTGAGATTACAGGCATGAGCCACCGTGCCTGGCCTTAGTTTTCTTTTTGAGCTCCACAAGACCCTTCTAAGAAGGGTTTCTACTTTGGCTGCACAATAGAATCACCTGGAGAGTTTTTAGAACTCTTGATTTCTAAAGCCGGATCCCAGAACAATTACATAAGAATCATGGGGATGAAGTGGGTCTGAGCCCCAGGTGATTCCAATATCAGCCCAGGTAAAAACAAGTGCTCCAAGGTCTTAGCCTCATTTTGCCAAGGCAGGAGGCTCCAGAGGGGTGAAATAAGTTGGCCCCAGATCTCAAGCTTGTGAAAGTGAATTTCAAAACCAGGTCCTCTCTTCACTCTCTGTGTTCTTCCAGATGTGGCTCTTATGGCCACTGTAAAAAGTAGTAACTAATATGTACAGTTGTTCCCTAGTATCTGAGAGGAATACATTTCAAGATCCCCAGTGGATGCCTGAAACCACGGATAGTACCTTATATAAAACCATGATTTTTCTTTTTAAAAAAATGTTTGCTGGGCAAGATGGCTCACGCCTGTAATCCCAACACTTTGGGAAGCTGAGGCAGGAGGACTGCTTGAGCCCAGGAGTTCAAGACCAGTCTGGGCAACACAGGGAGACCCTGTCTATATAAAAAGTTAAAAAATTAGCTGGGTGTGGTAGCTTATGCCTGTAGTCCCAGTTACTTGGGAGGCCAAGGTGGGAGGATCACTTGAGCCTGGGAGGTCAAGGCTGAAGTGGGCCATGATCACACCACTGCACTCCAGCTTGAGTGACAGAATGAGACCGTTTCAAAAAAAAAAAAATAGAGATAGGGTCTGTGTCATCCTGGCTGGAGTGCAGTGGCATGATCAGAGCTCACTATAACCTCAAATTCCTGGGCTAAACATTTCTCCTGCCTCAGCCTTCTAAGTAGCTAGAACCACAGGTGTGTGCTGCCATGCCCAGATAATTTTTTTTTTTTATAGACACGGGGTTTTGCTATATTGCCCAGGCTGATCTTGAACTCCGGGGCTCAAGTAGTCCTCCTGCCTTGGCCTCCCAAAGTGCTGCGATTACACACATCAGCCACTGTGTGGGCCCTATACTATGGCTTTTTGATCTGAAACCTCTATTATTATACCCATTTTACTAATACAGACCCAAAGCTCAGGGCAGTAAACACACCTAGGAATTGTTGGGGTTTGAACTCTGGTTTGTCTGAAAATATAGTCTATGTTCTTCATCATCATGCTGTACCTTCTCAATTTTTTTTTTTTTTTTTGAGACGGAGTCTTCCTCTGTGGTAGGCTGGAGTACAGTGGCCTGATCTCAGCTCACTGCAACCTCCGCCTCCTGGGTTCCAGTGATTCCCCAGTCTCAACCTCTAGAGTAGCTGGGATTACAGGCAACTACCAGCACATCCGGCTAATTTTTGTATGTTTTTTTTTTTAGTAGAGATGGGGTTTCGCCATGTTGGCCAGGCTGGTCTTGAACTCCTGACCTCAGGTGATCCACCTGCCTCGGCCTCCCAAAGTACTGGGATTACAGGCATGAGCCATGGCGCCCGGCCTCCTCAAATATTTTTGAATATCTGATAACATCCCTGTAACTTGATCATGTGTTCAGGCAATGAGTCTAAGAAGAGAATATTTAATCAAAAACAATTTTTTTTTTTAATTTTTAGAGATAAAGTTTCACTATGCTGCTCAAACTGGTCTTGAACTCCTGGCCTCCAGCAATCCTCTCATCTTAGCCTCCCAAAATGCTGGGATTACAGAGAAGAGAACATTTAAATATGACTTGTTTTTTTCACCTTCATCATTCCTTAGACAGCTTCTTCCATCTAGAAGTGGAAGAGCAGTATAGAGAAGAGGATATAGTTGTATATAATTTGTCATAAGTATATGACGTATAAGTTATTATTTATACTTATGGTATATATATATGTATCATAAACCACTGGACTCCTCATTCCATCATACATTCCTCTTCCCTTCCAAACATACCAAGCAATTTTTCACACTTATTATGTCATTTAATAGACATAATAGGCCTATAAAGTAGTTTCTAAAATGTCTGTTTCCCAGGTGAAGAAACTCAGCCCTAGAGGACCAAATGATACAACTAATGTCATCAGTGACGGAGCCTGGATGGCCTCAAGCCAATCTGCCTCCAGAGCTCAAGAGCTGAGATATGCCTTTCTCCCTGCACAACCGTGACCTTACACCCTCAACCTGTCATCAGAACTAAGGAAATTCTGTTTTAACCAGGAGAAACAATTATTTGGGTATAGGTTAAATGCATAATTATACATGTATTTTGAGTAGAAGTAGATGGTTTAGAGGTACAAAGATCAAGAATATTTTGGCATAGAGATGAACCAAAAGTTGAGCCTTCTACACTGGCTGATGTCAGCTGAAAGCTGAGCCTAAGGGGATAAAAGGAAGGAAAGACCTACACCTCAATGGCAACTTTTTTTTTTTTTTAAAGAAACAGAGTCTTGCTCTGTCACCCAGACTGGAGTGCAGTGGTTCAATCTTGGCTCACTGCAACCTCCGCCTCCCGGGTTCAGGTGAGTCTCCTGCCTCTCTGCCTCCCAAGTAGCTGGGATTACAGGAGTGCACCACCACACCCTGTTAAGTTTTGTATTTTTAGTAGAGATGGAGTTTCACCATGTTGGCCAGGCTGGTCTCAAACTCCTGACCTCAGGTGATCCACCTGCCTCAGCCTCCCAAAGTGCTGGGATTATAGGCATAAGCCACCACACCCGGCTTAATATTTTATAAACAACAAAAAAAGTTCCTTTGCTTGAATCCAAACATAGTTTTGAGACCATGCGTGGTGGCTCATACCTATAGTCCCACTTTGGGAAGCTGATAGGAAGATCACTTGAGGCCAGGAGCTGGGGACCAGCCTGGGCAACATGGCGAGACCCTGTCTCTACAAAAAGTTAAAAAATTAGCCAGGTGTGGTGTCATGTGCCTGTAGTCCTAGCTATCTGGGATGCTGAAGTGGGAGGATCACGTGGGGGTCGAGGCTGCAGTGAGCCATGATGGCACCACTGCACTCCAGCTTGGGCAACAGAGTAAGACCCTGTCTCAAAAAACAAAGAAATATGGCCAGGTGTGGTGGCTCACGCCTGTAATTCCAGCACTTAGGGAGGCCGAGGGCAATCGGATCACTTGAGGCCAGGAGTTCCATGGCCCATCCTGTTCCATGCCTCATGCAGCTGCATCTATCTGCAATGCCTTTTTTATTTTTTTTTTGTCTCGCTCTATCGCCCAGGCTGGAGTGCAGTGGTGTGATCTCGGCTCACTGCAAGCTCCGCCTCCCGGGTTCACACCATTCTCCTGCCTCAGCCTCCCGAGTAGCTGGGTCTACAGGCACCCACCACCATGCCCAGCTAAATTTTTGTATTTTTAGTGGAGACGGGGTTTCACTGTGTTAGCCAGGATGGTCTCAATCTCCTGACCTGGTGATCCGCCTGCCTCAGCCTCCCAAAGTGCTGGGATTACAGGCGTGAGCCACCGTGCCCGGCCTCTACCTGCAATGCCTTTCTTCCCTCCTCAGCCTCCAATGAGCCTGCTCAAAAGTCAGCTCTGGTCACACGGGAATCCCATCCCAAAACCAGAGTGCATCTTTTACCCCTCGCTCTCACAACACATATGGGTTGAGTATCCCTCATTTGAAATGCTTGAGACCAGAAGTGTTTTGGATTTAAGATTTGGGAATATTTGCATACACATAATGAGATATCTTGGGGATGAGACCCAAGTCTAAACACAAAATTCATTTATGTTTCATATACACCTTATACACATAGCCTATGGCAATTCTATACAAAATTTTTAACAATTTTGTGCAAGAAATAGTTTTGACTGCGACCTATCATATTAGGTCAGGTGTGGAATTTTCCACTTGTGGTGTTACGATGGCACTCAAAAAGTTTCTGATCTTGGCCAGGCATGGTCGCTCACACCTGTAATCCTAGCACTTCGGGAGGCCAAGACGGGTGGATCACCTGAGGTCAGGAGCTCGAGACCAGCCAGGCCAACGTGGCAAAACCCCATCTCTACGAAAAATACAAAAATTACAGGTGGCGCATGCCTGTAATCCCAGCTACTCAGGAGGCTGAGGCAGGAGAATTGCATGAATCCAGGAGGAAGAGGTTGCAGTGAGCTGAGATTGTGCCACTGCCCTGTACCCTGGGCGACAGAGCGAGCCTCCATCTCAAAAAAAAAAAAAAAAAAGTTTCAGATTTTGAATTTTTGAATTAAGGATGCTCAAATTATACTATATTTTATTGAGATCACTGCTTTCCACCTCCCCCAGTATGCTTGGCATTTTCAGGGCAGAGATTTATATCTTACTGTTTATGTATCCCAAGCATCTGGCATGGTACCTCCTACATACGGAGTGACATCAGAATTTTGAAGAATATGGCCAGCACAGTGGCTCACACCTGCAAACCCAGCACTTTGGGAGGCTGAGGCAGGCAGATCACCTGAGGTCAGGAGTTCGAGACCAGCCTGGCCAACATAGTGAAATTTCATCTCTACTAAAAATGCAAAAATTGGCCGGGCATGGTGGCGGGTGCCTGTAATCCCAACTACTCAGGAGGCTAAGGCAGGAGAATCACTTGAACCCAGGAGGCAGAGGTTGCAGTGAGCTGAGATCGGGCCACTACACTCCAGCCTGGGTGACAGAGCAAGACTCCATCTCCAAAAAAAAAAAAAAAAAAAAAAGTTTTAAGAATAAATGAATGTTGTCCACACCTCAATTCTTAAAAGCTTATACTTATGTGTAGCCTCTGCCTATAAGAATTAAGCCTGGGTGTGGTGGCTCACTCCTGTAATGCCAGTACTTTGGGAGGCCAAAGTGGGAGGATTGCTTGAGGCCAGGAGTATGTGACCAGCCTGGGTAATATAGTGAGACCCTGTCTCTACAAAAGAAAACAACAATAATGATAAAATAATACAGATTTTTTTCAAGAAAGTTAATGTTTGTAATGGGTCCCTTAATTTGCACAGAACTTCAAATTAAATTATTCCAATCTTTGGAGTGACCCTCAGGGTATTATTATGACCTTTCCCAGATGAGAGAAACAATAGCCAAAAGTTACACTGTCAAAACTGGTGGAACTGGGATCCTGGCATTTTGGCCCTCCCTTCTCCACTGCAATGCCAGCCCCCGAGATGGCATGTACAAATCTACGTTATCTGTTATTTTTCACATGCTGCCAGCATGTCACAAATCCAGTCTAAATAAAATGTACAACTTCCTCTTGCTACCACAGCTCACCCTCCAGCTAGGATTTCTAATTTGCTGTCACCAACAGTATCCATTCCTGGACTGTGCTCATGCCTTTTCCATAAACCAGGACCATCTCTGGGAATCTGCTCTCCTTCTACCCAAGCCCAAAGCAAGTCTTGGGAAGGGGAAGGTCACAAATCCACCTGTTAGAGAAGGGAGTTTCTAGTTCAAAAAAAGTTCTTCCTCTACATCTCTAGGCATAAGAACCCTATTCCAGTCTCAAGCTACCTCCAAGAAAAGTGGCTCATCCAATTGGCCCTGTTAATTATGCCCAGGAGATGATCCTGGAATTGTGTTTGTGAACATTAAAATCCTAATGAAACGCACTAGGAAGCTTGGCATTTAAAGGATTCCTGCTAGCAATGAGTAAGCCACAGTGAAGATTCCTTCTGGAAGGGGAGTAACTGACCCCAGAGTAATTGTCCTGTTCATCTTATTGATACCTAATGGGTTGACTTAAAGAAGCGCTCACCAGCTCCTACTTCCGGGCCTGGAATTCTTGGAAATGTGGTCTTTCCGGGCTCCCCAATGCTTGGCATTGGAGCCTCGTTTCCTCATTCTGCTTCCCTTTCCTCCTGAAACTGTTTATAGACCTGAGGTCCCGCTTGTGAGCTGAGGAAGGGCTGAGGGCCCTCAGTGAGTTGTCCACCTTTGGGAAAACGAAGACACAGGGTGAGCAAAGCAATGTGCTAAATGACAAATAGTTAAAGATTTGTCTAGATTTCACAATGGCTCTGTGTCTTATATCACTTTCATTTTTATGTCGGAAACAGGATTCAGTGCCTCTTACTCACGGTTGCATCATTGATGACAGAGAGACATTGTGTTTCTTGGCAGAGGCTGGCCCTTACAGATGAACTGGGGAGAGGGGGCTCATGCTGGGCCTGAAACGTACTTTAGGAAGCCTTTTTCTCTCCCCTGTTGGAGACACTTCCTCACATTTCTCTCAACAATGGGTTCTAAGCCCCTCCACCCCTTCCTCAAACTAACAGCCTCATGCACCCCAAACAGGCTCATTCACCCTGAGCAAAGAAGACCCCATCCTACAGTCCCAGTGTTCCTCATCCACACTTCTGGGCCTGCCTCCCTTCTTCCTTTCACCTAAGTCTGCCACCTCCCCATCCATCTGCCCAGGAGCATCACACTAACCAACAACTCCTCTCCCTAAGGTGTCTGCAATCAACTCTTTCCACCAGCCCTTCCTGTCAACATCCAAACATGCCCAGGTTTCTCACACTGAAAAATTAAAAAATAAGTAATCCTTTCACCCGACTTCCCCTCCAGTTATGGCCTTAGCTCTCCCTGCACAGCTTCAAAACTGGCATCAGGCCCATCCTACTCCCAAAACAGTTCTTAACAAGGTCACTGTGATCTTTGGTTGATCAAACCCAGTTGTCAGTCTGGTTTCCTTCCTCCTTCCTCCTTACAGCTGATGCTCACTTCGTCCTCCCGAGCTTTTCTTGCCCACTAACTGCTCCCACAGGTTCCCAGCTTCAGCAGGCTCCTGGCCCCCATGGGCAGGACTGGGAGAAGTTCTCCCTGTAGACAGACCGGCCCTTGAGAAGCCACATTACAGTCTTGAAGGGTCCTATGTTATGGTCATGTGATCTAAAAATTAGTACTTTAATAGAGAAAGACTCCAAGTCCCCATCAATAATAGTTCCTATTTTCCAAAATTCCAGGAATGACTCCAGCCTCCATTAGATGGACGCAATCTTTCTTTAGAAATGCTAAAATTGTGGAGGGCCTTGATCTAGTCAGCTGTTCTGTCTTTACCAGAGATTTGCATATCTCTGGTTTCATCCTAGTTGATAGTTCCTTTCTTAGAAGGCAACCTCATTTAAAGTGGCTAAAATATGCTGTTGCCCTTGGGTATCAACAACAAAGAGTCCTGTAACTGACATGAGACCATCCGCAAGAAGTTCCTGATTCTTCATCTACTGACTAACCCCTGCCCTTGCCCCCTCCTCTGGTTCCTCCTCAGAGGCCTCCTAAAAGCCTTCCCATCCTGTAAGCCCCCAACCCCATTATGCAGTCAGACAGAACTAATGGTTCCCCTCAGCAGTCCCTCCCAGGATTATAAATTTATCATACTCAAGTATTGATTAGTCTTGACATTCTATTAGGGCCATTTAGGGGCTTATTCTCACATTTATTTTCATTTCAAAACAGTGTTAAAAAGCAATCAATAACTGCCTGATACCTAAACAAACACCCAGACTCATTATGTCAATAACCTGGTAAATGTTTTACTTGCTGGTTTCCAGCTGCCATGAGGAAAGATCCTCCCATTTGCCAGATGCTCAAATGGTGCCTGGAAAACAGATCTATAAGGTGCATTATCCTAGGAGGGAGCACTACAGTAAATCAACAATTTCAGGGTTGCTGAATGTTTCATAGCTATTTTTTGTCAGGGAGGGGGGTAAAGGCATGGTGTACTGGAAAAAGCATGGATTAAACTTGGATTCATAATTCACGGTAAGACTGTAATTCTTACTGTGTCACTTACTAGCTCTGTGTAGTCTCTAGAACTCAGTTTCCTCATCTATACGCAATGGTTAATGCAAATAACAGGATGGAGTGGGCACAGTGGCTCACACCTGTAATCCGAGCACTTTGGAAGGCCAAGGCAGGCGGATCACCTGAGGTCAGGAGTTCGAGACCAGCCTGACCAACACGGTGAAATCCCATCTCTACTAAAAATACAAAAATTAGCCAGGCATGATGGTGGGATCCTGTAGTCCCAGCTACTTGGGAGGCTGAGGCAGGAGAATCGCTTGAACCCAGGAGGCAGAGGTTGCAGTGAGGCAAGATCGTGCCGTTGCACTCCAGCCTCAGTGACAAATAACAGGATGGCCTCCCCTGCTAGGGATTGTTAAGGTAAGAGATATGAAAGCCCTTTGTGTGCTGTTAACTTCATGAGCCTTTTGTGAGCTTCAATGCCCTTGCTCAAATGGGCAGCAGAGTTGCTTTTGGCTGGTATCATGGATGATCTGTGATAGAAGAAAAACTGGAACAGCCAATTAAGCAGCTCAACTTTGCCTTGACCCAGCTGGTCACTTTGGACATAGTATGCCTGCATTACTTCACAGGATTCTTTGGAAGACAGTGACATAGGAAACAGCAAATGGTTTCCAAGGGGCAAGCAAGTCTTGGAGCACTCAATAGTATAAGCCCTTTATGAAGAAGCAAATTAAGGACATTTGTTCTTCTTCTGCCTGGGTAATATCAGCCACAGCAACAAGCACTGACAGAAAAGGAAAAAAAGAAAAGAAAAAGAAAAAAAAAAGAGAGAAACAGTGGAGAAACCATGTCTCTACTAAAAATATAAAAATAAGCGGGGTATGGCGGCGCGCTCCTGTAATCCCAGCTACTTGGGAGGCTGAGGCAGGAGAACTGCTTGAACCCGGGAGGCGGAGGTTGCAGCGAGCCAAGATCCCGCCACTGCTCTCCAGCCTGGGCGACAGAGCAAGACTCCGTCTCAAAGGAAAAAAAACATTTAGTCATCTACTGATAATATGAGCCACCCAACCCAACCCTCATGTGCCCAGTCTGGCAGCAGAAGACCCCTGCAGTCTGACCTTGAACTGGTCACTTCAGTTTCCCGTCCTCTTCATCAGTTCAACTAGGGACACTAAGAGAGCCCTCCTTCGGTGGTTATCTTGTCAGCATCAAGTGAGGTAATACATTTGAAAGAATTTGGTAAATAGTATCTGTTTACAAAGCTGTATGCATGTGAATGATCAACATTATTTACAGTAAGTTTGTGAGATAAATACGAAGGAAACCCGATGATAGTCCATTTTTTGGCCCTACTAGGCAAAGGCAGAAATTTCTGTTTAAGCAGAACCGGGGTGGGTGGGGCCTTCCAGTAACTAATGCAGCCCCAGAGAGAGGGTCTTAGATCAGGATCTAGAGCACAACAGCTTTGGTATTTTGGATTTGAGTCCTGCCTACTGTCAGTGACAATTTACATAATCCTAGGCAATTTATTTAATCTGTTTAAGCCTCCGCGTATCTTCTGTAAAATGAGAATAATAATAGCACATACCTCACAGGGTTGTTATGTTGATTATTTGAGATAATGCACTTAAAACAATTTGCACAATGCCGGCTCAGTACAAAGTTAGATGTACTTTGGGTAGGCTGGAGGAGGAAAAAGGGAGTGGATGTATTAACTGGTAATTTAGTTCTGTTTTGCTCCCTGCCATGGCTTGTTCTCACCTAAGGAAGTATTTAAAAATTACACATATTTGCAAGTACTGGAACATCATATGGAAGATGAGAGTTGGTATTGCTACTTATGGTGGAGAGATAGGGAAGTGATTGCTTTTCCTTTATCTTTTGTCACAATGTTGTTTGCACAAAGGATACAGCTTTGTTTTGTTTTGTTTTAATTTAAAACTAAAATACAAGACTTGCCCTGAAATGTAGTAGCAGTTGGCTCTGAAAATGCCTTAAAGTGGGGAAGTCTTTGAAAGGTAGAGACAGAAATCTGTAGCTTGCAGGAAGAGAAGTCAGAAAGATAATATTAAAGTGATACATTCCCATTGCACTTGAAATATGGGCCAGGCACGGTGGCTTACGCCTGTATTACCAGCACTTTGGAAGGCCGAGGCGGGCGGATCACCTGAGGTCGGGAGTTCGAGACCAGCCTGACCACCATGAAGAAACCCCATCTCTACTAAAAATACAAAAATAGCCAGGTGTGGTGGCACATGCCTGTAATCCCAGCTACTTGGGAAGCTGAGGCAGGAGAATTGCTTAAACCCGGGAGGTGGAGGTTGCGGTGAGCCAAGATCGCGCCACTGCACTCCAGCCTGTGCAGCAAGAGTGAAACTCCATCTCAAAACAAAAGAAAAAAGAAAGAAAGAAAACCTATGAACCTCACTGAGGCCTAAAAGTAGTTCCATGAATATAGAAGATACTCAAGGTAGGACTGAGCTGTTGTTACCTTTCGCCTTCCAGTTGCCTTTCCCCCTGCCTCCTGGGCCAGCAAGCATTCTGGTGTCCAGCTCTCCTGGCCTCTCTCAACACTGCCTGCCATGCTCTGCCAGCTACTTCCGTGTTTGCAACTCAGGTCTCTGCTCATGTTATCTACTTCTAAAATACCTTGGCATTCTATCTCATTATCCTTTTTATTTTCTTTTATTTATTTATTTATTTTTTTTTGAGATGAAGTCTGACTCTTGTTGCCCAGGCTGGAGTGCAATGTCACAACCTCGGCTCACTGCAACCTCCGCCTCCTGGGTTCAAGCAATTCTCCTGCCTCAGCCTCCTGAGTACCTGGGATTACAGGCATGCGCCACCACACCCAGCTAATTTTGTATTTTTAGTAGAGACGGGGTTTTTCCATGTTGGTCAGGCTGGTCTCGAACTCCCAACCTCAGGTGATCTGCCCACTTCGGCCTCCCAAAGTGCTAGGATTACAAGTGTGAGCCACAGTGCCCAGCCCCTTTTTATTTTCTTCGTACGTATACACTGTCACACATTATCTCATTTGCTTACATTTTGCTGTGTTTACCCATTTATTTACGTGTTTGCTTTCTTTAGAATACAGTAGCTCCCCCTTATTGGAGGCTTTGCCTTCTTCAGTTTCAGCTACCGGAGGTCAGCAAAGGTCTGAAAATACTAAATGAAATATTCCAGCTTTGGAGACTTCAGTGCCATCCAGAGCCTCTTGCCACCAGCTATAGTCAACCCCACCATATTCTTTGACATCGTGGTCCACGGGCCACGTCTCCTTCAGGCTGTTTGCAGACAAAATTCCGAAAACAGCAGAAAACTTTCATGCTCTCAACACTGGAGAGAAAGGATTTGGTTATAAGGGTTCCTGAATTCATAGAATTATTCTACAGTTTATGAGTTAGGGTGGTGACTTCACATGCCATAATGACACTGGTGGCAAATTCATCTATGGGGAGAAATTTGATGATGAGAACCTCATCCGGAAGCACAAAGGTCCTGGTATCTTGTCCATGGCAAATGCTGGACCCAACACAAAAGGCTTCCAGTTTTTCATGTGCACCACCAAGACTGAGTGGTCGGATGGCAAGCACGTGGTCTTTGACAAGGTGAAGGACAGCATGGATATCATGGATGCCATGGAGCACTCTTAGTCTAGGAATGGCAAGACCAGCAAGAAGATCCCCATTGCTGGCTAATAAATTTGACTTGTGTTTTATCTTAACCACCAGACCATTCCTTCTGTATTTCAGGTGAGTACCCCTCCACCTCATTTGCTCACACTATCCTCTGATCTTTGTGCTCTCACTGCAGTTCCTGGGTTCCATATCTTCCTTATTGCCTTCCATGTCTAGCTGGATTGCAGAGTTAAGTTTATGATGGTGAAATCAAAGCTAAATAACATAAAAAAAAAAAAAAGGAGAAGAAATATTCAAAGGCCAGGCATGGTGGCTCATGCCTATGATACCAGCACTTTGGAAGGCTGAGGCAAGAGGATCATTTGAGCCCAGGAGTTTCAGACCAGCCTATGCAATAGAGCAAGACCTCATCTTTAAAAACGAACAATAAATAAGTAAATAAATATTTACTTTTTAAAAATAACAAAAAGAAACATTCTGGAAATAATTCATGTTTTAAATTGCACACAATTCTGAGTAGCGTGATGAAATCTCTCACTATCCCACTCTGTCCGGCGAGGACATGAATCATTCCTTTGTCCACTGCATTGACACAGGCTACACACCCATTAGCCACTTAGTAGCTGTCTGCATGATCCATTAGACTGCTGTGGTAACTCAGTGCTTGTGTTCAAGTCATCCTTAATTTACTTAACAATGTCCCCAAAGAGCAAGAATGGTGATGCTGACAGTCTAAATATGCCAAACATAAGCTGTAAAGTGCTTCCTTTAAGTTAGTCTCTTACTGTGCCTAATTTATAAATTACACTTTTATCTTTTTATTTATTTATTTATTTATTTTTGAGACAGAGTCTCACTATGTTGGTCAGGCTGGTCTCAAACTCCAGACTTCAAGTTATCCACCTGCCTCGCCCTCCCAAAGTGCTGGGATTACAGGCGTGAGCCACCACACTTGACCTAGAAGCCACTTAGATCTGATGCCTGGGCTTTAGAGTGGCAGCGGATATAAGAGCAATGGTCCATGTCTTTTCTAAATAAAAAACCAAAAGACAAAATTTAGCTTAAGGGAATGAAAATCTTAGGAAATCTCATAGCTCACTTTGATTTAACCCACATTTACTGGGCCAAGTCCCATAGCAAGATGAACAAGATTCAGAGTGTATTCCTCATAGGGTAAATATGACTAGAATGGGAATCATGAATAAAAAGCAGAATGGGAAAAGAGTAATAAGGTACCAGCAATAAATTCTTCGGGAGCATGGAGCAAAGATTCAGAAGCCCCATCTAAAGTGAACTCTAAGGAGACTTTGGCCTTCCCTTTCTGTCAAGGTGAAAGTGCAACCTGTGAAAAGTGAAATCCACAACAGAAACTGCCCGTGAGGTCATCTTACCAGCCTCCCCTGCTCTCACGGTCAAGATAGCTCCTTAATGTCTGACATCTTTTTCTCAGCATTGCAAACAGTGGCAGGCCTGGGGGCAGATGGGCAAACTGCCTTGCTGTTTGCAGAAAGGAGGACAAGATCTTGAACCACTTAGTTCTTCAAGAGGAACAAGTAGTTCTGACCACATCTTGGGTTGTTCTAGAGGCTGCTAGGAAAGAAATGAAACTTCTGCTTACACTGGCAGGTGAAGGTGAAGCACTGAACTCCAAGAGAAAATACCCTAGTGCCTCTTTTTATTTATTTTTATTTTTATTTGATTTTTATAGAGACAGGGAGTCTCACTACGTTGCTCAGGCTGGTCTTGAACTGCTAGGCTCAAAGGATCCTCCATCCTCGGCTGCCCAAAGTGCTGGAATTACAGGCCTGGGCCACTGTGCCTGGCCAAGTGTCTCCTTTTAGCAATGAGCCTGCTGTTGCAAGGGTTGTGTGCTTATGAGCTTTTGTGGACCCTTTTACAATTAAAAAAAAAAAAAGTCCCTTCTAACCTACCATGTTAGAAGTGCCACTGTTTACACAGCAGAACCTGGAGGTTCATCTCCATGAAGTGGTTTGTGGAAAAGCTAGAGCTGTGGGATCCACATGTCTCGGCTCAGTCCTGTGCCACTCGCTATTTTACTTAAGCAACTCTTTCCCCTTCTGAGCCTCAGTTTCCTCATCTTCCATCTGAGGAACTGGATGAGAGTAGTGTCTTTCAAACTGCAAATTTTGATCCATTCATAAATAATAAAATCAATCTAGTGGGTTGCAACCTTTTCTTTTTTTTGAGATGGAGTCTCGCTCTGTTGCCTAGACTAGAGTGTAATGCCGTGATCTCAGCTCACTGCAACCTCCGCCTGCCAGGTTCAAGTGATTTTCCTGCCTCAGCCTCCTGAGTAGCTGGGATTACAGGCACCCACCATCATGCCTAGCTAATTTTCGTATTTTGTAGAGATGGGGTTTCACCACGTTGGCCAGGCTGGTCTTGAACTCTTGACCTCAGGTGATCCACCTGTCTCGCCCTCCCAAAGTGCTGGGATCACAGGCGTGAGCCTCTGTGCCTGACCTGCAACCATTTTTTTTAAAATGGAGAAATAGAATAGTTTAGAATACAAAATGCCAGGGTGCATTACAGTTAATAAGTATTGTCTTGTGAAATGTTTGTTTTATCCATAAACACATATTACTAACATCAACACAAAATGTATTTTTCACTGTTAGTCATTCTGAAAAAAAAAAAGAAAAGAAAAGAAAAAAAGCTCAAAACATACCATATCGAGTTTTCAGGGCTCTTAAGCAGAGACAGACCAATCAATAGGTTGGCACTACTCCTTGCTTAATTGCCTATTTCCCATTGTTTGCCTGAGGACTGAGCCTGGCTCCAAGTGAACATGCCATTTGGCTTCTCTCTCTAACTGTGGACACAGTGACCTAGAAAAGGAGATGCTCAATGCTGCATTTATTGTCCAGCATGACATCAGCCAGAAAGCATTGTGAAAATAATAATATTATGATTATTGAGTGAAGGCCTGTTATGTGCCAGATTTTGTGTTAAGTGATTTAAATATAGTAAAGTTCATTCTTACAACAAGGTGTCTGTTGTTTAAGGTGTATGTGATTGTCCTCATTTTTCAGAAAAGGAAACTGAGGCACGGAGAAGTTTTGGTGTGGCATTCCAAGGTCATAGAATGGGTAAATGGCCAAGGTAGAATTGGAGCCCTTATCTGTCTGTCTCTAGAGTCCTTTCCATTACACACTTTTTCCAGGCTGAGATGCTTTGCAATAAAGTGGCTTTGAAATAGCAGTTCCCTTCACGTTGTGTAAGTAACCAAGTCCTCCCCTGACTGGCTGTGGCTCTGGCTGTGACCTACAGGTGGTGGAATGGAGTTGGTTTACATTTCTAAGGAAGTAATCAAATTACCTTTCCTGGGCTGGGGGCGTCTCAGAAGGACTGAATTAAACTGAAGGTCTAATCTGGGGACATTCTTTTTTTCTTTTTTGACATGGAGTCTTGCTCTGTCGCCCAGGCTGAAGTGCAGTTCAGCTGTCTCAGCTTACTGCAACCTCTGCCCCCCGGGTTCAAGCGATTCTTCTGCCTCAGCCTCTCAAGTAGCTGGGATTACAGGCATGAGCCACCACGCCCGGCCAGTTTGGGGACATTCTTATTGCACAAAATTTCTTCCAGAACATTTGGTCCTTTGGGATTTCCCCAGATTGCCAACAATTAGACAGAAAATTCCAACTCTCCTTCCCTGGTTGCTTCATAGTATCTACCATTTCCCCCGCCCCCCACCTTACCTATGAGTATACCTCTCTCGTGGGCTGCATTGGTAATACCTTACTATCCAGGGAATCCTGGGTTTTTGGAGTTTTTTAAATTGTTGTTTTAACAAATATAACTTCATTTCACTACTTCTTTGGTGAGGCCACGTCCAACCAATGACGTTGGTTAGTAACTTGTTCAGTGTCCCCAAGAACAGACGATAAAGAGATCAACATATCAACTTTTCTTATATTAGAGGTTTTAGAGATTTTTTAATTCAACATCCAGATTACAATACACCCACTATCCCAGTGTTCTAAGGAAATCAGTCAGGGCTTAAATTAAACTTAAATCTTGTTTCACATTTAAAATACAATTTAGCGCATTAGTTTCATATGTTTCTATTTTCTAGCCTAAAAAACACTAACAGCTCCTTGACCACAGTAGTTGAAATCCTACTTAGCACTCAATAACCAACACAACTTCTCCAACCCCCAGGCAAGGCAAATTCAGTGGTCCTTTGGCACCCACTATGCTTTGCAAAATGTTGAAGGCTTGACTCTCCATCCTTTTCCATCCCCCATTACCTACCCTCCATCCCTGAACTTACCCCAGGGCAGTAGCCACATTGTATTCTTACTTACCCTGATATCTGGCTCCCACACCAATGCAGGATGAGATTCCCTGCATATGTTAAGCCTTCAGTGTATGTTGTCACATTGAATTAATTTTTAAGTTAACTTTGTGTTGAAGTATAAGATGCCTATAGAAAGGCGCACACTGGTGTCTGAATCCTCACAAAGTGAAAGATAACATACATCCAGTACCCCAGAAGCCCTGCACCATAGCCCACCATCCTCAAATGTCATTACTTTCCTAACTTGTAATGCCATAGAGTAGCTTTACTAGTTTATGAACTTGTTATAAATGAAATTACAACATGAACTCTCTTGGTTTGGGTTTACTGCATTAAACACTATGTTGGCCAGCTTTAGCCATGGTTTTGTTTTGTTTTGTTTTGAGATGAAGTCTCGCTTGGTCTCCCAGACTAGAGTGCCGTGGCGCAATCTCTGCTCACTACAACCTCTGACTCCCGGGTTCAAGCAATCCTCCTGCCTCAGCCTCTGGAGTAGCTGGGATTACAGGTACACACCACCATGCCCGGCTAATTTTTGTATTTTTAGTAGAGATGGGATTTCACCATGTTGGCCAGGCTGGTCTCATCTGACCTCGGATGATCCGCCTGCCTCGGCCTCCCAAAGTGCTGGGATGACAGGCGTGAGCCACCGCGCCCGGCCTACACCAGTTATTTATGTATTCATTCTACTGTGGGTGGACATTTGGGTTGTTTCTAATTTGGGGCTCTTATGAATAGAGTTGCTATGAATATTCTTTGTATATTTCTTTCTGTTAGGTATTTACTTAAGAGTACAATTGTTCAGCTTTAGTGGATACTGCCAAATGGTTTTAAAGGTGATTGTGGAAGTTGACAAGCTGATTCTAAAATGTATATGAAAATAGAAAGGGCCAAAAAACATCCAGACAATCTTGAAGAACAAGGCTGCAAGTCTTACAGTACTATGTATTATAAAACTACAGTAATTACGACAGTGTGGTGTTGGCACAAATAAGCCAAAGGATTGGAAGAGAGAATCCGGAAGCAGATTCACAATTATAAGCTACCCGATTTACAATATAGGTGACATTGCAATGCAGACAAGAAAGGACGATGTTTTCAATAAATGGAGCCAGATCGATTGGATAAACAAATTTAAAAAAAAAAAAGCTTAACCACACATTAAAATCAATTCCAGATGGGTTACAGATCTGAATGTTAGAATGTTTAAAAGTAAAACAATAAGGCTTTGTAAATATGTCTATTAAATAGAACATAAAAAGTACTAACCATAAAGAGAAAACTTGATAAATTTAACTACTTTAGAAATGAGAACTGTTCATCAAAGGACACCACTAAGAAATTGAAAACAGCCACGTACGGTGGCTCCCGCCTGTAATCCCAGCACTTTGGGAGGCCGAGGCGGGCAGATCACGAGGTCAAGAAATCGAGGCCATCCTGGTCAACATGGTGAAACCCCGTCTCTACTAAAAAAATACAAACATTAGCTGGGCGTGGTGGCATGTGCCTGTAGTCCCAGCTGCTGGGGAGGCTGAGGCAGGAGAATCACTTGAACCCGGGAGGCAGAGGTTGCAGTGAGCAGAGATCATGCCACTGCACTCCAGCCTGGCGACAAGAGTGAGACTCCGTCTCAAAAAAAAAAAAAAAAAAAAAAAAAAAGATAGACAACCCAATAGAAAAAAAATGGGCAAAAAAGAAAAAGAAGAAAGAGGAGAACAGTGAATGAGCACTTTACACACATACACACACACAGTATATTCAAATGGCCAATAAACATATGAAAAGGTGCATGAGGGAAATGCAAATTAAAACTACCAGGAGATACCTGCACATTCAAGAGTTGAATAAAATGGAATACTCAGTGAGGTAGTGAGGTAGTACTCAGTGTTGGTGAGAATGTAACGTAACTCCTGCTCTCATTTGCTGTTTGGGGAATAAATATTGGTCTGTCCACTGGATTTCTTCTAAGCTGGATTGACTGAAGTCTAGAAAGCAAATTGACAGGATCTACCCAAATTTTCCTCTCTCCCCAGCTCCCAGGGGAGTTGACTGGTGCAGGAGGATAGTGGCTAGGAAGCTCCATAGTTTTTACTACCAAGCAAGTGTACCTCAAGCTATGGGCAGGCATCTCCTTGCTCTCCTAATAGAAACCTCTGTTTATGTCTTTTATTGCTTCTAATCATTTACCCAGGTGTCATCAAACACTCCCTGAGCGATATTCTCTGCTTGACCCTTTGTAAAATTTATGGGCATCATTGGGAGCAAGACTCATTTCTCAGCAGGCTGGGCTCCCGAACTCCTGGAGAGACAAGCAGGCACAGGTTACAAACAACATGTGGTTCTTATCTCATCCAAAGACTCGAAGTTCCTGACTATTAAATCTATCCTCAAAATACATTCCTAGTATTCAGGGTGACACTCATTTTTTTTTTTTTTTTTTACAGGTTCAAGTTCCACAATTGTCCTCCTAGCGGGGCACCATGTAACCCCAGCAGTTTGGGAGGCCAAGGTGGGAGGATCACTTGAGTCCAGGAGCTCAGGACCAGCCTCGGCAACATAGGGAGGCCCTGTCTCTATGTTTTTTTTAAAGGCTGGGGGTTGCCGGGGGAGGAGAAAAAAAATTGTCTTCCTCAAAGGGATCAGCTTACCACTAGAGGTATATGTTGGCACCATTTTTTGTCCACATGATTGGTGAAAAATGTGTCTTGCTTTACTTACGTCTTTGATGACTAACGAAACTAAACTTTCTTTTTTTTAGATGGAGTCTCGCTCTGTCACCAGGCTGGAGTGCAGTGACGCCATCTTGGCTACCTGCAACCTCCACCTCCCGGGTTCAAGCGATTCTCCCGCCTCAGCCTCCCCGGTAGCTGGGACTAGAGGCGCACACCACCACGCCCAGCTAATTTTTGTATTTTTAGTAGAGATGGGGTTTCACCGTGTTGGCCAGGATGGTGTTGATCTCTTGACCTCGTGATCCGCCCACCTCGGCCTCCCAAAGTGCTGGGATTACAGGCGTCAGCCACCGCACCCAGCCGAGACTAAATTTTTAAAATGTATTTGTTGGTCATTTTTATCTCTTTAATTGGTTTCACCTACTTTGTCCACTTTGCTGTTATGTTTTCCTTGTGATTTTGCAAGAATGCTCTATATAGCAAAGATATTAAATTTTCTTCTGTTACATCACAAATATTTTTCCAGTATTTGGTTTTACCCTTTTAACTTTACTTGTGGTGGGTTTTCTTTTTTTAGACATGTGAATTTTAATTGTTTATGGTTTTTTTTTTTTTTTTTTGAGACGGAGTCTCTCTCTGTCACCCAGGCTGGAGTGTAATGGCATGATCTCAGCTCACTGCAACCTCTGCCTCCCAGGTTCAAGCGATTCTCCTGCCTCAGGCTCCCCAGTAGCTGGGATTACAGGTGCGCACCACCATACCTGGCTAATTTTTTTTTTGTATTTTTAGTAGAGATGGGGTTTCACCATGTTAGCCAGGCTGGTCTCGAACTCCTGACCTCAGGTGATCCACCAGCTTCAACCTCTCAAAGTGTTGGGATTACAAGCGTGAGCCACCATGCCCGGCCATTAGCTTTTTATATAGTAAAGCCTGCCAATCTGTTATAACTGATATTTTTGCAAAATCCTTTCTTTTTTTTTTTTTTTGAAACTTTAAAATCCCTCAAACATTGTATATTATACAAGTGAATTCTGATCCTCTTGATGGGCTTATTGGCAGGATTCACGGTAGCGAATATGGGCACTAGGGCCTCCAAACTTTGGACTTGCAGCAACCAGTGTCAGCTGCCAGAAGGATACATGTCATACTGGATGAGGATGTCTTTGATCTCCTTCTTGGAAGCCTCATCGACATATTTCTTTTCTATTTTTCTTTTCTTTTTGAGATAGGGTTTTCTTTTCTTTTTTTGAGATAAGGTTTGGCTCTGTCATCCAGGCTGGAGAGCAGTGGCATGAGCTCAGCTCACTACAAGCTCCGCCTCCTGGGCTCAAGGATCCTCCCATCTCAGCCTCCCAAGTAGCTGGTTCCACTGTCGCGCGCCACCACGGCCGGCTAATTTTTGCATTTTTTTTGTAGAGGGAGGGGGTTTTGCGCTGTTCCCCAGGCTGACCTCAAACTCCTAGGCTCAAGCAATCCACCCGCATCGGCCTCCCAAAGTACTGGGATTACAGGCGTGAGCCCTCACCCGCCCGCATATTTCTGGCAACAGGCCACAAGGGCTTTGGAGATGGACTGACAGATAGTACATATAGGACCCACATGACCATCACCCATCACCCTTCATGAATGTACACACCAACAAATCGCCCCTTGCCCAGAAGCAGCACTGGTTCTAGCAGCTTGTATTGCAGCCTGCCTGGCTCAATTGTCTCCAGGGCCGCCAGTTCACCTTGACCAGGCCATTAGGGCGTTTGCCATGCACCACAGCTGTGGCTTTCTTCTTGTGTCTGAAGACCTAAACAGACTGCAGCCGGCCCTTGGATGGCCTGGCTAGGTAGATTAGAGCTCCCTACCACGCAGCGCCACAACCGGAAAAAGAGCAATTTTTCCAATATGGTTTTATTTTTACTTTTTGTTGAGACAGGGTCTCGCGCTGGTTGCCCAGGGTTGAGTGCAATGGCACCATCTCGGCTCACTGCAGCTTCAGCCTCCCGGGCTCAGGTAATGCCCTCACCTCAACCTCCCAAGTAGCTGGGAATACAGGCACAGGCCACCATGCCCGGCTGGTTTTTTTGTATTTTTTGTAGAGACGAGTTTTCAGCATGTTGCCCAGGCTGGTCTGGAACTCCTGGACTCAAGCAGTCCTCCAGCCTCAGCCTCCCAAAGTGCTGAGATTACAGGCATGAGCCACCACGTCTGGCCTCATTTATTTTTAAATATGTAAATCACCTAGAGTTTACTTTGCACAGGGTCTGAGGTAGGATTCCAATTGTTATGTGTGGGTGCACATAATTTTTTTCCTGAATGGTAGGCAATCATTCCAGCCCCATTTCTTGAATAATGTATACTTCCCCTACTTGTTCCTGTGTATTTCAATAATATACTAATTGGATAGTGAGATTTGGTATCAGAAGGATCTCCCTTAGCACAACAGAAGGACTCCAGCATAGTAGATTGACCCCAGAGTGACCAGACTGGAGGTGTGGAACAGTAGAAGTCTCAGTTGATACAAACCTGTGGGAGAAAAAGTGAATGCCTGAATTACAACAGGCAGTTTGGAGAGGTGAGACGCTGATAGCCTCACTCTTTTCTCTGTTTTCCTATAATCACTTCCTCTAGCGGTCTTTCCCAAATCTGTAAGCCTCCTTCTGTTGTCGATGGAGGAGATAAAGCCCAGTTGTTAATCTTGGGGAACCTGGATTCAGAATGGTTCATTTAAATCTTGACTTAACCACTTACTAACAGACACTTAACCACTTACTAACAGCATTGTAATCTCAAGCAAGTTTCCTTATGGTTCTGGTCTCAATTCTCCCATCTGAGAAATGGGGATAATAGCAATAACTATTGCAGATCATATCAAGGAGGATTTGACCAGCTGGGTACAGTGGCTCACGCCTGTAATCCCATCACTTTGAGAGGCCGAGGGGGGCAGATTGCCTGAAGTCAGGAGTTCGAGACCAGCCTGGCCAACATGGCAAAACCCCGTCTCTACTAAAAATACAAAAATTAGCTGGGTGTGGTGGTGCATGCCTGTAATCCCAGCTACCCAGGAGGCTGAGGCAGGAGAATCGCTGGAACCGAGAGGTGGAGGCTGCAGTGAGCTGAGGTCATACCACTGCACTCCAGCCTGGGCAACACAGCAAGACCCCATCAAAAAAAAAAAAGAGGATATGATCAGCTAATTGTTCATATGAGGCTCTTTTCCTGGTGCCTGGCATGGACTGGTTTTAATTAGTCAATATTGTTATCAGTTTTTTTTTTTTTTTTTTTTTGAGACGGAGTTTCGCTCTGTCACCCAGGCTGGAGCGCAGTGGCGCGATCTCGACTCACTGCAAGCTCCGCCTCCCGGGTTCACGCCATTCTCCTGCCTCAGCCTCCCGAGTAGCTGGGACTACAGGCGCGCGCCACCATGCCCGGCTAATTTTTGTATTTTTAGTAGAGACGGGGTTTCACCGTGTCAGCCAGGATGGTCTCGATCTCCTGACCTCGTGATCCGCCCGTCTCGGCCTCCCAAAGTGCTGTATCAGTTTGTTTTTAAGAAAAGGTATAACCATCACTTTTCTCAATGGAGAAAAACTTGTATCCTACCTTTGGACGGGTGTGGAGGTCTGGGCTTAAAAGAGAGTTTGGGTTGGGTGCGGTGGCTCACACTGGTAATCCAGCACTTTGGGAGGCCGAGGCAGGTGGATCACCTGAGGTCAGGAGTTTGAGTCCAGCCTGGCCAACATGGAGAAACCCCATCTCTACTAAAAATACAAAATTAGCTGGGCATGGTGGCCCACGCCTGTAATCCCAGCTACTCGGAGGCTGAGGCAGCAGAATCGCTTGAACCCGGGAGGTAGAGGTTGCAGGGAGCCGAGACCACCACTCCACTAAACTCTAGGCAACAAGAGCGAAACTCTATCTCAAAAAAACAAAGAGTACATAGAGGGGAGGTGGAAAGGGCAAGGTGACAGAGAGGGATTCCAGGTCAAATGATGGAAGGCACTGATCTAGAAATGTTTTCTCTGGGGCTTGTTTTTTTTTTTTTTTTGAGACAGAGTCTCACTCTGTCGCCCAGGCTGGAGTGCAGTGGCACGATAACGGCTCACTGCAACCTCCACCTCCCAGGTTCAAGCAATTCTCTGCCTCTGCCTCCCAAGCAGCTGGAACTACAGGTGCCCACCACCATGCCCAGCTAATTTTTGTATTTTTAGTAGAGATGAGGTTTCACCATCTTGGCCAGGCTGGTCTTGAACTCCTGACCTGGTGATCCACCCGCCTTAGCCTCCCAAAGTGCTGGGACTACAGGCATGAGCCACCACGCCCAGCGGGGGCTTGTATTCTTTAAGGTGTGCTTATGCAATAAAGCCTGAGAACTAAGGACTACCATTAGTAAAAATAAGTTAGCAGATGAATTGACCCAGCACAATGGCTCATTCCTGTAATCCCAGCACTTTGGGAGGCCAAGGCAGGCAGACCTCTTGAGTTCAGGAGTCTGAGACTAGCCTGGGCAACATGGCACAACCTCGTCTCTACAAAAAATGCAAAGTTAGGTGAGGTGGCTCATGCCTGTAGTCCCAACTAATGGGGGAAAGGATTGGGGGTGGTTTCAGGAGTGAGGAATTGCTGAGGCAGCTGAGGTGGGAGGATCACTTGAGCCTGGGAGGTTAACGCTGCAGTGAGTCAAGATTGCACCACTGCACTCCAGCCTAGGTGACAGAGCAAGACCCTGTCTCAAAAAAAAAAAAAAAAAAAAAAAAAAGCCATGTGTGGTGGCTCAAGCCTGTAATCCCAGCACTTTGGGGGCCAAGGCAGGCAGATCACGAGGTCAGGAGATTGAGACCATCCTGGCTAACACAGTGAAACCCCGTCTCTACTAAAAATACAAAAATTAGCCAGGCGTGGTGGCAGGCGCCTGTAGTCCCAGCTATTCGGGAGGCTGAGGCAGGAGACTGGCGTGAACCTGGGAGGCGGAGCTTGCAGTGAGCCGAGATCGCGCCACTGTACTCCAGCCTGGGCGACAGCGCAAGACTCCGTCTCAAAAAAAAAAAAAAAAAAAAGCAGATTAATTAATAATACCCTATATTATCACCACCCCACACTTAAACACAACTGTTTATTTGTTTATGTAAAGATTTGGTCAAAGATAAAGACACAGGAGACTTTTTTTAAATTTCTCGTATTTTTTAAGGAGTGGGGTAATAGCTATAGTTGATTGACCCACATCTTAAAGGGCACAGTGCTAAGCCCTTTAAAATTTCTCATGTAATACCCCTTCTGTAATAACTCTTGAGGTTGTTATTATCATCCCCAATGTATGGATGAGAAAAGGGAGTTTCCCAGAAATGAGGAAGTCACTTGCATTCAGCCACCATTACTAATGACCTAGATGCAAACCCAAGTCTCTGTGACTCCAGCACCCAAGCTCTAAACCCAATGATGAACACATTGATGTTCAGCTAGAATTTGGAAGCTTGGAAGTACAGCTTGCCAGATGAAAGAAATTATCTCCTGAAACATTTAGTACCTTCTATTTATTTAGAAAATTGTCGACCCAGGCTGGGCACGGTGGCTCACGCCTGTAATCCCAGCACTTTGGGAGGCCAAGGCAGGTGGATCACCTGAGGTCTGGAGTTCGAGACCAGCCTGACCAACATGGAAAAACCCCATCTCTACTAAAAATACAAAATTAGCCAGGCATGGTGGCACATGCCTGTTATCCCAGCTACTCGGGAGGCTGAGGCAAGAGAATCGCTTGAACCCGGGAGGCGGAGGTTGTGGTGAGCCGAGATCCGCCATTGCCCTCCAGCCTGGGCAACAAAGCTAGACTCTATCTCAAAAAAAAAAAAAAAAAAAAAAAAGAGAGAGAGAGAGAATGTTACTGCTAAACACACTGCTTGGAACAGGAGACAACAGAACCCAACATGTGAAATGACAAAGGCTTCAGAATCTGCACAGATTCCCTCATCAGGATCCCCCAAAAGTGATAGCAGCCTTCCCTGGATGGCCTCAAAAAAAAAAAAAAAAGAAAGAAAGAAAATTGTCAGCCCAGTGCAGTGGCTCCCACCTGTAGTCCAAGCAGTTTGGGAGGCTGAGGTGGGTGGATCATCGGAGCTCAGGAGATCGAGACCAGCCTGGGCAACATGGTGAAACCCTGTCTCTACCGAAAATACAAAAAATTAGCTGGGCATGGTGGCACGTACTTGTAGTTCTAGCTACTCGGGAGGCTGAGGTGGAGGATCAGTTGAGCCTGGGAGGCGGAGGTTGCACTGAGCCGAGATTGTGCCACTGCACTCCAGCCTGGGTGACAGAGTGAGGTCATGTCTCAAAAAAAAAAAAAAGAAAGAAAGAAAAGAAAATTGTCTCAGGAAGTCATCTAATCCAGTGTCCTTGCACTGTACTACTGGAGAACCTGGAGCCCAGGAAAGGAGACATGCCCAAGCTGACGATCCATGGAGTTTTCGCATTGAGTCCTGGGTCTCCTGACCCCAGTGCACTGTCTGTAATCTCCATGTGACCTCGAGATCAAAGACCAAGAAGATGAAGAGGAGGATCCTGCTTGGTGAAGGGGAGCCTACACAGTGAAAAAAAAACATTGTTTCTGCCTGAAGAAGCCTGCAGATCAGCAAAGGAGAGAATTCAGGCCCAAATAACAAATGCCAAGAGAAAGAAGGTAAAAACAAAAACAAAACAAAAACCTTTAGGGTCTTTAAAGGGCTTCATCTCTCAGGACAGAATTGGGGAAGACTTCTTGGAGGAGGTTATGGGGGAGCTAGGCCTGCAGTAGAGACCACAGGAAGGTGGAGGGGCACACCTAGAAGGAGTACTAATAACAACTAATATTTATTGACCTGGCTGGGCATGGTGGCTCATGCCTATAATTCCAGCACTTTGGGAGGCTGAGGCAGGTGGATCACTTGAGGTCAGGAGTTCAAGACCAGCCTGGCCAACATGGTGAAACCTCATCTCTACTAAAAATACAAAAATTAGCTGAACATGCTCGCTTGAACTCAGGATGCAGTGGTTGCAGTGAGCCGAGATCGTACCACTGCACTCTAGCCTGGGTGACAGAATGAGATTCTGTCTCAAAAAAAAAAAAAATTATATTGAGCCATAATGTACAGGTTCTATGCTAAATGCTATACAAGTTACAAGTACGAGCTCCTTTAAATCCCATATCAACAGTGTAAGGTAGGTATGATAATTACACCTATTTTTCAGAAAGGGGAAATTGAGACACAGAAGATAAGAGAGTAGTCCAAGGACATGTGGCCAGGCAGTGTCAGATTCCAGAATGAGAATAAAGGCTGGAGCGGAGTGACTCCGGCATTTGGATGCCTGAGGGAGGATTCCGGGTCGGCAAGGGGGCAAGGATGTAGGATGAGGGAGAGGCGATAAGGCACTCTTTGTTGAAGGCAAATCAACTTCCAGCTTTCTCCAGGCTCTTCCCTGACTACCTGGGGCCTCCTACAGCAGGCAAGGAGTACTCAGTTAATGGGGGTCAGGACCCAGACTCACTGGCCTCTGGATGTGCCAAAAGACCTTCCAGAAGCCACCAGCACTAGGTTGAGGAGCCCTGGCTAAAGGGTCATGGAAGCTGTTGGACTCATACTGGAACCACATGTCCAGGCACCTATTCCTGACTGATCTTATACAAGCCGTGGGAGCTCTGTGGGGAAGACCTTGGATCCTAGTACTAGAATCTGGTGCATACTTTCCAAATGCCAATCACAACTATGGCTCGGCCCCCATGAGGACAGTGGGGTTTATGAGTGAGGGCACAGGTTGTGGCAGCAGCCCAAGCCTCGCTCTAACAGCTGAGACCTCAGGCCAGCTCCAGGCCTCAGGACTTCAGTGAGTACCTGAGAGTGATCATCCCGACCTCATGGCTGGTTAGGAGGAATCTGTGAAATCAGATGAATGACAGCCAGTATAATGCCTGGTGCCCATTGGTGTTTAAGAAATGCTAAATTCTTGCAGTTGACTTTGAGGCTTCTCTTCTTCTTGGAGCGGGTTGGGCATGGGATGGGCATGCCCCAGTCCTTGGTTCCTTTTCTTCCCTAAAAACAGATCCATGGGCCTTTTGAGGGTTGAGAATGTTACTGCTTCTCACCTGATAGTGGTGAAGGAAAAAAAAAGAAAGAAAACAAATGCAAATAATTTTTTAAAAAAAAGAAAGAAAAGGCCATGCACAGTGGCGCATGCCTGTAATCCCACCACTTTGGGAGGCCAAGGCAGGTGGATCACTTGAGGTTAGGGGTTCAAGACCAGCCTGCCCAACATGGTGAAACCCCGTCTCCACTAAAAATACAAGAATTAGGCTGGGTGCAGTGGCTCACACTTGTAATCCCAGCACTTTGGGAGGCTGAGATGGGCAGATCACCTGAGGTCAGGAGTTTGAGACCAGCTTGGCCAACACGGCAAAATCCCATCTCTACTAAAAATACAAAAATTAGCTGGGCATGGGGGCACATGCCTGTAATCCCAGCTTCTCAGGAAGCTGAGGCAGGAGAATAGCTGGACCCTGGGAGGCGGAAGTTGCAGTGCTGAGATCACGTCACTGCACTCCAGCCTGGGCAACAAAGCTAGACTCTGTCTCAAAAAAAAGAAAAAAACGGAAGAGAGAGAGAGAGAATGTTACTGCTAAACACTGCTAAGAACAGGAGACAAAGGAACCAACATGTGAAATGACAAAGGCTTCAGAACCTGTACAGATTACCTCATCAGCATCCTCCAAAAGTGATAACAGCCTTCCCTGGGTGGCACCCACTATTTCAAGGGGGCATCTTTCTTCAACTCTCCTCCACCCCAGACCTTCTTGAGATGCTGCTGGAGTTTTTTTCATCCATTACACTCACTGAACATCGACCCAGTGTTGTGGATGTGAGACAACTCAATGGCAAATGGGAAAGCCACTCAAGCGTTCATCAAGGGATGAATGGATAAACAAAATGCAGTGCTCACATACAATGAAATAGTACTCAGCCATGAAAAGGAAGGAACTTCTGACACATGCTACATCATGGATAAACTTTGAAGACATTATGCTAAGGAAATAAGCCTGTCACAAGAGGATTTTACCTATATAAGTAGAGTAGTCAAATCCATAGAGACACAAAGTAGAATAGAGGTTACCAGAAACTGCAGAGAGAAGACAATGAGGAGTTAGTGTTTAATGGGAACCGAATTTCTGTAGGAGAAAATGGAAACGTTCTGGAGATGGATGGTGATGATGGTTGCACAATAATGTTAATGTACTTAATGTCTCTGAACTGCACACTTAAAAGTGGTTAAAATGGGCAGAGCATGGTGACTCACGCCTGTAATCCCAGCACTTTGGGAGGCCAGTGCGGGGGGATCACTGGGTCAGGAGATCAAGACCATCGTGGCCAACGTGGTGAAACCCCGTCTCTACGAAAACACAAAAAAAAAAAAAAAAAAAAAATTAGCCGGGTGTGGTGGCACGTACCTATAGTACCAGCTACTCAGGAGGCTGAGGCAGGGGAATCGCTTGAACTCGGGAGGCGGAGGTTGCGTGAGCCGAGATTGCACCACTGAACTCTAGCCTGGCGTCGGAGCGAGACTCCATCTCAATAAAAAAAAAATTTTTTAAAGTGGTTAAAGTGGTAAATTTTGTGTCATGTATATTTTACCACAATTTTAATAATTAAAAAAAAGGAGGGGATGGGCAAATAGGGGCTTTCCTGCTCCCAGAGCTCTCCCTGTCTAGATTTCTTATCACAAAGCCATGTGATAAGAAATCTGAACAGCCTGGCCAACATGGTGAAACTCCGTCTCTACTAAAAATATAAAAAATTAGCTGGGCATGGTGGCGCGCCTGTAGTCTCAGCTACTCGGGAGGCTGAGATGGGAGAATCACTCGAACCCCGGAGGCGGAGGTTGCAGTGAGCCGAGATTGTGCCACTGCACTCCAGCCTGGGGGACAGAGCGAGACTGTGTCTCAAAAAAAAAAAAACAAACATCTGAACCGTACAGGCAGCTGTGTGTGTCTCAATCTGGTCTTTCTCCCAGCCCAGAGTGTAGAGGGTTCCCTGGAGGCAATGAGTCCTTTCCCTGCTGGGAGGCGGCCAGCCTGGCTGCGTCCATCTCCGTACATACTGGAGAAGTCCCTTCAAAATACAGCTTGTTTGCTCAGTACCCTGGGTCAGTCTGTAATCCCAGCTATCCCAGCACATTGGGAGGATGAGGGGGAAGGATCGCTTGAGCACAGAAGTTCAAGGCTGCAGTGAGCTATGATTGCACCACTGCACTCCAGCCTGGGTGACAGAGTGAGGTTCTGTCTCAAAAAAATTTTGTTGTTGTTGTTGTTGTTGTTGTTGTTTTTGAGACAGAGTCTTGCTCTGTCACCCAGGCTGGAGTGCAGCGGCGTGATCTCGTCTCACTGCAATCTCCGCCTCCCGAGTTCAAGCGATTCTCCTGCCTCAGCCCCCTAAGTAGCTGGGACCACAGGCGTATGCAGCCACGCTTGGCTATTTTTTTTTTTGTATTTTTAGCAGAGATGGGGTTTCACCGTGTTAGCCAGGATGCTCTCAATCTCCTGACCTTGTGATTCGCCTGCCTTGGCCTCCCAAAGTGCTGGGATTACAGGCATGAGCCACCGTGCCCGGCCTAAAAAGAATTTTTTTTTAAGCGACAAAATACAGCCTGTAGACCTGTGGGTCCCAACCGCCCCCCATCCCCAACCCGTCGCAAACCAATCTAACTATCAACTGCTCAGTTAGGGCAGTCGTGGTGGCTCATGACTTTTTTTTTTTTTTTTTTTTTGAGACAGAGTCTCACTCGGTTGCCCAGGCTGGAATGTAGTGCAGTGGTGCCATCTCGGCTCACTCAACCCCCACCTCCTGGGTTCAAGAAATTCTCTTCCTCAGCCTCCTGAGTAGCTGGGATTACAGGCAGGTGCACCACTAGGCCCGGCTAATTTTTGTATTTTTAGTAGAGACGGGGTTTCACTATCTTGACCAGGCTGATCTTGACCTCGTGATCCACCCGCCTTGGCCTCCCAAAGTGCTGGGATTACAGGTGTGAGCCACTGCGCCCAGCCCATGCCTATTATCTCAATGATTTGGGAGGCTGAGGTGAGAGGATTCCCTGAACCTAGAAGTTCAAGACCAGCTTGAACAACATAGCAAAACTCCCACTCCACAAAAAATTTTAAAAATTACCCAGGCATGGTGGCACTGACCTGTGGCCTCAGCTACTTGGGAACCTGAGATGGGAGGATCACTTGAGCCTGGAGTCTGCAGTGACTTATGATGGCGCCACTCTCCTCCATCCTGGACAACAGAGTGAGAACCTGTCTCTGATAAAAAACATTTAGGCCAGGTGCAGTGGCTCACACCTGTAATCCCAGCACTATGGGAGGCTAAGGCGGGTGGATTGCTTGAGCCCAGGAGTTCCAGACCAGCCTGGCCAACATGGTGAAACCCTGTCTCTACTAAAAATACAAAAATTAGCCAGGTGTGGTGGCATGCACCTGTAATCTCAGCTACTTGGGAGGCTGAGGCAGGAGAGTCACTTGAACCCAGGAGGTGGAGGTTGTGGCGAGCCGAGTTCGTATCACTGCACTCCAGCCTGGGTGACGGAGCAAGACTCAGTCTCAAAAAAAAAAAAATTAAAAAGTAAATAAATTTTAAAATTATTTTATAAAACTGCTCAACCAAAATTCACTTCTTCTGCTAAGTGGGCTTTGACCAGAACAGAAACGAATGTTGCAGACAGGGCACTCCTCAAATGACCTGCTGCTGCTCCTGAATTTCCAACCTAGGTAATGACCCTGGTCCTTGTTATTAGGCTCTCTTCTTTTCCTACTACCTTCCTTCTTGAAGTCTCAAATCCAACTTGACCTTTTGTTACCCACTTTTTTTTTGCTTTTGAGACATGGTCTCCCTCTGTCGCCCAGGCTAAACTGGGCAAATGACAAAATACACCTTGTAGACCTGTGGGTCTCAACTCCCCCGCTTTGTCACTGCAACCTCAGCCTCCCAGGTTCAAGTGATTCTCCCACCTCAGCCTCCCGAGTAACTGGGATTACAGGTGCCCACCACCACGCCTGGCTATTGTTTTTGTATTTTTATTTTATTTTATTTTATTGAAATGGAGTCTCGCTCTGTTGACCAGGCTGGAGTGCAGTGGCACGATCTCGGCTCACCGCAACCTCTGCCTCCCGGGTTCAGGCAATTTCCAGCTAATTTTTGTATTTTTAATGGAGACGGGATTTCACCATGTTGGCCAGGCTGATCTCAAACTCCTGACCTCAAGTGATCCGCTGCCTTCGCCTCCCAAAGTGCTGGGATTATAGGCGTGAGCCACCGTGCAGGGCTTTGTTACCCACTTCTAGGGCCCAAGATAGGGAGGACTGAATGGGTGTCCAGGGGTCTGATTCTAATGCTGCCGCTACCTCCTTCTCCAGGCCACTCACAGGTCAGTCATAGGCCAGTCACAAGACCTTTACAGATGGGAGCTTGATAGAGGTGACACTGACATGCCCTGAAGCATTAGGGCAAAGATATGCAGAGCTGAAAAGAGATTGGATAGCTGTCCCAAAACAAAACTAAACTCGACTCAGGATTAATGTATCTAAAGAAGGAATGTGCCCAGGAGTGGCTGGCGGAGGGCAGGAAGGGAAGGGACTTTGTCAGCCTGGGAGTCACAGAAAAAGCAGTTATTTATCTATTTATTTTTTAATTAATTAATTTATTTATTTTTTCGAGATGGAGTCTCGCTCTGTAGCCCAGGCTGAAGTGCAATGGCGTGATCTTCAGCTCACTGTAAGCTCTGCCTCCCAGGTTCAAGTGATTCTCCTGCCTCAGCCTCCCAGATAACTGGGATTACAGGCGCCTGCCACCATGCCTGGCTAATTTTTGTATTTTTAGTAGAGACGGGGTTTCACCATATTGGCCAGGCTGGTCTCTTGGCCAGGCTGGTCTTGATCTCCTGACCTTGTGATTCACAGGCCTTGGCCTCTCAAAGTGCTGGGATTACAGAGTGAGCCACCGCGCCTGGTCACACCTGGCTAATTTTTATGCGTTTTTTAATAGAGACAGGGTTTCGCCATGTTGGCCAGGCTGGTCTCAAACTCCTGACATCAGGTGATCTGCCCACCTTGGCCTCCCAAAGTGCTGGGATTACAGGCGTGAGCCACCATACCCAGCCATATTCATTCATTTATTCAACAAATGATTACTAAACTCTCACCCTATGCTAGGCAGTGTTCTCGGTATGAGGATATAGAGTGAGTAACACATGCAGTTGGAACCCTGACCTTGCAGAGCTTATATTCTAGGGAGGAAGTCAGACAATAAAAAAGATAACCAAATATAGTAAGTTATATGGCAGATGCAGGTAAAAGATACAGAGAAAATAAACTTGGCTGGATGCAGTAGCTCATGCATGTAATCCCAGCACTTTTGGAGGCTGATGCAGGAGGATGGCTTGAGTTCAGGAGTTCAAGACTGGCCTGGGCCAGGCATGGTGGTTCGTGCCTGTAATCCCAGCACTTTGGGAGGCTGAGGTGGGGAGATCACCTGAGGTCAGGAGTTTGAGACCAACCTGGCCAACATGGTGAAACCCCATCTCTACTAAAAATACAAAAATTAGCTGGGCGTGGTGTTACATGGCTGTAATCCCAGCTACTCGAGATGTTGAGGTGGGAGAATTGCTTGAACCCTGGAGGCGGAGGTTGCAGTGAGCCGAGATTGCACCATTACACTCCAGCCTGGGCAACAGAGCAAGACTCCATCTCAAAAAAAAAAAAAAAAGTCATCAAGAGGAATATAGATTTCCAAGTTTGGGGATGAGGAATTCCAATTTTATTTTATTTTATTTTATTTTGAGACAGAGTTTCACTCTTTTTGCCTAGACTGGAGTGCAGTGGTGTGATTTCGGCTCACTGCAACCTCCGCCTCCTGGGTGCAAGCGATTCTCCTGCCTCAGCCTTCCGAATAGCTGCGATTACAGGCATGCGCCACCACAGCAGGCTAATTTTGTATTTCTAGTAGAGACGGGGTTTTTCCATGTTGGTCAGGCTGGTCTTGAGCTCCCAACCTCAGGTTACCCTCCCGCCTTGGCCTCCCAAAGTGCTGTGATTACAGGCATGAGCCACTGTGCCCAGCCAGAATTGCAATTTTTAAAAGGCTGACTATGGCAGAAAGTGGGTACTAAGGAAAGACTTGAAGTTGATGAAATTCACTGTTTGGATGTCTGGGGAAGAATATTCTAGGTAGGGGAACCCACAAAGGCAAAAGATTTGGGGTAGGAGGCCTGGAGCACTGGAGCAACGGTGAAGAAGCCAGTGCTGGACGGGACTTTGCAAGTGGGGAGGAGGAGATGAGGTCAGCAAGGAAACAGGGAGCTAGGTGGTCTAGGGCCTTGCAGGCCACTGCAAAGATTTGGCAAGACCTACGGCAGATCCCACTCCTGTTCAGGGAAGAGGGGTCTTCACCAGTGGATTGGTGGTTGTTGTTGTTGTTGTTGTTTTTGAGACGAGGTCTTGTTCTGTTGCCCAGGCTGGAGTGTAGTGGTACAATCTTAGCTCACTGCAACCTCTGCCTCCCGGGTTCAAGCGATCCTCCTGCCTCAGCCTCTTGAGTAGCTGGGATTATAGGCAGTCGCCACTATGCCTGGCTAATTTTTGTATTTGTAATAGATACGGGGTTTCACCATGTTGGTCAGGCTGGTCTTGAACTCCTGACCTGATGATCCGCCCGCCTTGGCCTCCCAAAGTGCTGGGATTACAGGCGTGAGCCACCATGCCCAGCCACCAGTGGATTTTAAGCCTTCTCCCAATGGCGGGATGTACAGGGCAGGTTGCTTGGGACCGATACCTTTGAACAGTGAAGGCCCATAACTAACCTGCCTGGATTCCAGGCCCACCTGGTAACCTCTAGGTCACACTCTGGCTTCCCAGGGACAGATCTTCTAGAGGGAGAAAACCTGGGCATTGTTCTCACTGTGAAACTTCTCCTTTTTTTAAAATTTTTTAAACACATTTTTTATTAAATAGAGATGGGGTTTCTCAATGTTACCCAAACCAGTCTCAAATTCCCGGCCTCAAGCGATCCTCCTGCCTTGGCCTCCAAAAGTGCTGGGATTACAGGAGTGAGCCACTGTACCCAGCAGGATCATGTTCTTATATATCATATTTCCTTAAATGCAGCCTCCCAACACATTTTTTTTTTTTTGAAGACGGAGTCTTGCTCTGTCACCAGGCTGGAGTGCAGTGGCGTGATCTCAGCTCAATGCAACCTCCACCCCCTGAGTTCAAGTGATTCTCCTGCCTCAGCCTCCCGAGAAGCTGGGACTATAGGCGCACGCCACCATGCCTAGCTAATTTTTGTATTTTTAGTACAGACGGGGTTTCACCATGTTGGTCAGGATGGTCTCGATCTCTTGACCTTGTGATCTGCCCGCCTCGGCCTCTCAAAGTGCTGGGATTACAGGCATGAGCCACTGCACCCAGCTGCCTGCCAATGCATTTTCAAAATTTATTTTAATTGGAAAATAATAATCATATAATAATTACATATATATTTTATATATATATTAGAGACAAGGTCTCTCTGTGTTGCCCAGGCTGGTCTTGATCGCCTGGGCTCAGGCAATCCTCCTGCCTCAGCCTCCCAAAGTGCCAGGATTACAGGCATGAGCTACCATGCCTGGCTGTCATTTCTATATTGCCCTGGACTTCTCTTACATGTCCAAGGCTTCCAGAATGACAGGGCAGTAGCAAGGCTGCACTGTAGAAGGTCATTCGGGAGGAGGTGGAGGCAAGCAAGCAGCACTGGGCCACAGAAGAGGACCTGGTATCCCAAGAGAAAAGAGGACAAGGAGTGGGGTTGCTGTCTGGAAGATAAGAGGTAGATATGAGGTGTTTAAAATCCTCTGTTGTGATATATAGACCAGTGGAACAGAACAGATGCCTCAGAAATAATGTCACACATCTAAACCATCTGATTTTTGACAAACCTGACAAAAACAAGCAATAGGGAAAGGATTCCCTAGTTAATAAATGGTCTTGAGAAAGCTGGCTAGCCATATGAAGAAAACTGAAACTGGACCCCTTCCTTACACCTTATACAAAAATTAACTCAAGATGAATTAAAGACTTAAAGTAAGACCTAAAACCATAAAAACCCTAGAAGAAAACCTAGGCAATACCAATTCAGGACATAGGCATGGGCAAGGACTTCATGACTAAAACACCAAAAGAAATGGCAACAAAAGCCAAAATTGACAAATGGGATCTAATTAAACTAAAGAGCTTCTGCACAGCAAAAGAAACTACCATCAGAGTGAACAGGCAACCTACAGAATGGGAGAAAATTTTTGCAATCTATCCATCTGACAAAGGGCTAATATCCAGAATCTACAAAGAACTTAAACAAATTTCAAGAAAAAAACAACCCCATCAAAAAGTGGGCGAAGGATATGAATGGACACTTCGCAAAAGAAGACATTTATGAGACAAACAGACAGATGAAAAAATGCACATCATCACTAGTCATTAGAGAAATACAAATCAAAACCACAGTGAGATACTATCTCACGACAGTTAGAATAACGATCATTAAAAAGTCAGGAAACAACAAATGCTGGAGAGGATGTGGAGAAATAGGAACGCTTTTACACTGTTGGTGGGAGTGTAAATTATTTCAACCATTGTGGAAGACAATGTGGCGATTCCTCAAGGACCTAGAACCAGAAATACCATTTGACCCAGCAATCCCATTACTGGGTATATACCCAAAGGATTATAAATCATTCTGCTATAAAGACACATGCATGTGTATGTTTATTGCAGCAGTGTTCAAAATAGCAAAGATGTGGAAGCAACCCAAATGCTCTTCAATGATAGACTGGATAAAGAAAATGTGGCACATATACACCATGGAATATTATGCAGCCATAATAAAGGATGAGTTCGTGTCCTTCACAGGGACATGGATAAAGCTGGGAATCGTCATTCTCAGCAAACTAACAAAGGAACAGAAAACCAAACACCGCATGTTCTCACTCATAAGTGGAAGTTGAACAATGAGAACACATGGACACAGGGAGGGGAACATCACACACCGGGGGTTCTGGGGAGGGATAGCATTAGCGGGGCTAGGGGAGGGATAGCATTAGGAGAAATACCTAATATAGATGATGGGTTGATGGGTGCAGCAAACCACCATGGCATGTGTACACCTATGTAACGAACCTGAACATTCTGCACATGTATCCCGGAACTTAAAGTACAGTAAACAAACAAACAAAATGCTAAAGCAGAAAAATAAATAAATAAAATATCAAAAAAAAATCCTCTGTTGTTCAGCAGGATCAAGCTGAGACTATGAACTTCAGAGCACAAAACCTTGGCCTTTAGAAGTGTGTTTTTATGTATGGGTAAACCTCTGGGTTCCATGTCCAAAAACAGCAATGAATATTGTGTTCTGTACTCTGTCTCCGGTTGCCCCACTCTCCCTCAGTGAAGCTCCAGCTGGAAAAGGGACTTTCTTTTATGAAGAAAGAGAGAAGGTGAAACAGTTATAACCTAAGGAAAGTAATTATACATCAGGCCAGAAACACCCCACTGTGTTTCCAAGTGAATGTAATTTTGTTTGAACAAGTTGAACTAAAATTTATTTTGGCTGATCTTGAATTTGCAGAACACACACACACAAATACACACAAACGTTCACATGGGAAAAAAAAAAAAAAAGAAGAAAGACCTCATTTCTTGCTGTTGTATTTTAAGTTTAGGTAAATGTAGGAGGCTGTACTCAAGCCCTGGCTCTTACTTGGCTACCCAGAGCCTCACCCTGTGCACAGAGGAGTGTGTCAAAACTGGGGCAGGTTCTGGTCAGCCAAGATGTTGGACATCACAAGGAATAGAACAGACAGGAGAAGAAGGCTTCAGTACTTCCTAGAAAGAGCTCTAGATTCGCAGAGAGGGGAATCAGGAGCTTGCTGAGTGATCTTGATAAGTCGCTTAACCTCTCTAAGCTTCAGGCGTAAACTAGAGTCTGTGAAACCCTCCCTATGGGCAGAAGTGGCAGTGTGCATTTAACAATCCAGATGGCAGGAGAACCGCAACAAGGGTACTGCCATAAGTTCCTGGTGGGCTTGGGGGAAGGTACCCAAAGTTAACCCTTTAGTAGCTGAATCATAGGGAGGACCAGGGCACTCCAGGAGAGGAGCCAGTGTGGTGGGGGACACTCGGTGGTCGCAGGACAGTGGCTATTTACCAACTACTACAATGTTGACATAATATTGCAGCAGCAGTTTCAATGGCACAGCTTATGCCAGTGTGTTCACATGAATGGCACTTTATGGGCTTTCTGCAAAGATTAAGTGAGATAACGCAGATGAATGAATGAGTGGGTGAATGAGTGAATGGGCATCTTGGACTGTGCTCATAAGTCAAGAATGCACTTAAAAACATTTTATTGAATATCTACATTATGCCTGTTTTCATGCCAGACGCTGAGGATGAAAACTCCTTGGGGCAGTACGTGATAGATGGGAAGGGCATTGCCAGTGGAGGTCACGGTATGAATAAAGAAAGGCTCAGAGGTAAAAACAAAAGTGAGCAAAAGCAAGCAAACAATAACCACAAGCAGACAAACAAATAAAAAGCAGCCTGCCTTGCTCAAGAAGCCACAAGGTGTCATGGTGCTCAGCATAAAGTTTGAGATCGGAAAGAGCAAGAGACGGAGTCATGGAGGCATAATAAAGACCAGTCTTGCTAAGAGTTGAATGCTGCCATAGAGGGGCACCAAGGATGGGCAGTGACAGGTTATTTGCTAACTAAAATAATCAAGGCTGGGCGCGGTGGCTCACGCCTGTAATCCCAGCACTTTGGGAGGCTGAGGTGGGAGGATCACCTGACGTTGGGAGTTCAAGACCAGCCTGAAAAACATGGAGAAACCTCATCTCTACTAAAAATACAAAATTGGCGGGGCATGGTGGTGTATGCCTGTAATCCCAGCTACTCAGGAGGCTGAGGCAGGAGAATCGCTTGAACCCAGGAGGCGGAAGTTGCGGTGAGCCGAGATTGCGCCATTGCCCTCCAGCCTGGGCAACAAGAGCGAAACTCCGTCTCAAAAAAAAAAAAAAAAAAATCACTTCGGCAGCAGTGTGGAAAATGGTTCCCAGGCAGGGAGGCTGTTTAGGGAATATTGCAATAATCCAGGTTAATGAAGATGAAACAAAAAATAAATTGGCAGAATAAATTCAAAATATGGAGTATTATTGGTTTTGTTTTTGGGGTTTTTTTTAGACAAAGTCTATCACCCAGGCTGGAATGCAGTGGCGCAGTCTTGGCTCACTGCAGCCTTGACCTCCTGGGCTCAAGCGATCCTCCCTCCTCAGCCTCCCAGTAGCTGAGACTACAGGCCCATGCCACCATGCCTGGCTAATTTTTTTTTTTTTTTGAGGCGGAGTTTCACACTTGTCACCCAGGCTGGAGTGCAATGGTGTGATCTTAGCTCACCACAACCTCCGCCTTCCAGATTCAAGTGATTCTCCTGCCTCAGCCTCCTGAGTAGCTGGGATTACAGGCACCCGCCACCACGCCTGGCTAATTTTTGTATTTTTAGTACAGACGGGGTTTCACCATGTTGCCCAAGCTGGTCTTGAACTCTAGACCTCAGGTGATCTGATGCCTGGCTAATTTTTGTATGTTTTCTAGAGACAGGGTTTCACTGTGTTGCCCAGGCTGGTCTCAAACTCTTGGACTCAGGCAATTCTCCTGCCTTGGCCTCCCAAAGTGCTGGGGTTACAAGCATGAGCCACACACCTGGCCAATTTTGTTTTGTTTTTAAGTGGAAGAGTGAGAGAAAGACAACTAGGGTCAAAACTAGGTCAGTGAACACAGGGCTAGAGAGAAAGTGACATATTTAAGAAATATTTAGAAAGGAAGATCAGTACAACTGGAAGATTATTTATTTATTTATTTATTTATCTGAGACCGAGTTTCACTCTTGTCACCCAGGCTGGAGTGCAATGGCATGACCTCAGCTCACTGCAACCTCTACCTCCTGGATTCAAGTGATTCTCCTGCCTCAGCCTCTCAAGTAGCTGCAACTACAGGTGCCCATCACCATGCCCAGCTAGTTTTTGTATTTTTAGTAGAGATGGGGTTTCACCATGTTGGCCAGGCTGGTCTCGAACTCCTGACCTCAGTGATCCACTAGCCTTGGCCTCCCAAAATGCTGGGATTACAGGAGTGAGCCACCACACCCAGCCTGGAAGATTATTTAAATAAGAGGTATAAGGGAGAAAGAGTAGTCAAGAGGAATGCCCAGGTTTCTGGAGTGAGTAACCCAGAGGTGACAGTGCTACTAAGATCAGAAACTGAGGGCCCCAAGATGGTTTGGTGTAAAAATATTAGGAACATGTTAAGCTGGAGGAATCTCTGGGACATCTAGTACCTGAGGCTGACCCTCGCCCTGCAACATTAACAACAACAACAAAAATGTGTTTGCTATGAAAGAACAGGAATCGGAGGTCCAGGTTTGAGTCCTAACTTTACAACTAACCAACTGTGGACCATGGACAAATCAGTTAACCTTTCTGGGCCTCAGATTTCTTCTACTTTTCAAATGTCCATGATGCTCAAGCCAAGAGTTTTCAACGGAAATAAATAGTATATTAGCAATCTTGTTCTATTTCCACCATCTCTTATTTGGTATCCATTTATGTGAATCAAGACTGATGTAAAACATGTTTCTTTTCATTGTCATACTTCACAGTGTAAAACTGAGAAACAGAGTGGGAGAGAAACAAGAGATGCTGAATTCTTCCTACACATGATACAATAAAGTTAAATAATGTGGGGTTTTAGTTGTTCTCTACAAGAGAGCTTGATTCAATAGCGTGGTTAGAAAGCTCTACATTGGGCCTCTCTCTTTCTCTGCAAGGGCAATGAGATATGTACTTTCTCAAGGGCACCAGCCAACCGCCCTACATCAGTCATTCTCTCTAATGAAGCTCACTCCATTCGGACCCCATTTTCTTGTACACAATTCATTTTATTAAATGGCTGCAGCTGCAGTTAGGGGTGGTAGAATCCAGGCATGTTTTTGGGTTCGAGATGTGTACTGTGTGATTTTTCAAATACTTTGGGTTTGGCAAAAGCCAAGACACATTCTGTCAAGTTCTTTTTCCCCTTCGTTTTTAAGCCCGTGTGCATTCAAGAGAAATATGGTCCATCTGATTTTCATTCATTTTCGCTTAACTCAACAAAAAGTTGTCTCAGAAGAGCTAGAAAATGTCCAAGCAGCAAATCTAGCCTCTTTAATGGAAGCCTTGTTAGAATGTCTTTCTCTCAACCCCAGACAGCTTGACATTCTCCAAACAGGCCAAGCCTTTTCATTTCTCTGTGTCTTTGTACTTGCTCCCTAAACCTGGAATGATGGCCTTGCCCTTTACTCTCTTCTCTCTCTATTGACTCCTACTCCTCCAATTCCAGCCCAAAGGCTTTCTCCTTTGTGAAGGCTTTCCCCATTGCCCAACTTGCAAATTCAGCCCTCTGGCCCTCCACATCCGCAGGTTCTGAATCCCTGTGGATGGAAAATATTCAGTGGGAAAAAACAATTAAGAAAACCAACACAACAACAAAAAATAAGGCAAATAAAAACCAAGACACTGTTAACAACTAGATAGCATTTACAATGTATTAGGCATGATAAGTAACCTACAGATAATTTTTTCTTTTTCTTTCTTTCTTTCTTTCTTTATTTTTGAGACAGGGCCTTGCTCTGTCACCCAGGCTAGAGTGCAGTGGTGCAATCTCAGGTCACTGCAACCTCCACCTCCCTGGTTCAAGTGATCCTCCCACCTCAGCCTCCCAAGTAGGTGAAACTACAGGCACACACCCGGCAAATTTTTTGTATTTTTTGTAGAGACAGCAGGGGGAGGGGTCACACCATATTGCCCAGGCTGGTCTCGAACTCCTGCGCTCAAGAGATCACCTCGGCCTCCCGAAGTGCTAGGATTACAAATGTGAGCCATCGCACCCGGCAGAGATAATTTTTTAGAAACAACAACAACAAAAAAATACGACAATTAAAAGTAATACAAATAAAAGAATACAGTATAACAAACACAGCATTTACATTGTATTAGGTATTGTAAGTAGTCTAGAGATGGTTTAAATTATTCAGGAGGATATGCACAGGTTATATGCAAATACTATGTCATTTTATATAAGGAACTTGAGCATCCAATCTCCCGTGAATATGAAAGGACAGCTGTAATTGCATGATCCTCTTGAGATCCTTTATACTTCACTTGTAGTGCTAACTAGTTCCTGATTCCATTCTGCTTTGGGTTACAGACAGTTGTTGAACTAGGTTAGCCAAGCCCTCACTGATGTCTGCTTCAGTGTTAAGCCCTTGACCTTAATTAAAGGCCTTCACAAGAAAGGGCAGACAAAAATTGGCAATTGTGGTAAGGCTGTTGCCAAAAACATTAATTATTGTGTCTATCAATGTCCCTCTGTGGGCTTACAGGTGAGAAGTGAGCTTAAGGTTTAAGGACCAAAATAGCAATGAACTTCTTCCTTTCTGATAATGAGAGCTACGGAACTTAGCTTGTTCCCTTTTTGTCTTGGCTGCCAGGAAGCTAAGTTGCTAAGATGTGATGCTCAATCATAGCAACTATATCACATGCTAGTTTCCTTCTTTTTTTAATGACTTAATGACTTGGTTTTCTATTTCTATACTATTAACTTTATAATGGAAAAAAAACATATTCTTCACTGTGAGTCACTTCAAATAGTTTGTAGAGTGGCAGAGTAAAGTAAAAATATGAAGAAGCTATTCATGCTGGCTTCATCTGCAGAACAGTTCTTTGACATTTCATAAACTGTTTGAATTTCTTTCTTTCTTTCTTCCTTTCTTTTTTTTTTTGAGACGGAGTCTCACTCTGTCCCCAGGCTGGAGTGCAGTGGCACGATCTCGGCTCACTGCAACCTCTGCCTCCAGGGTTCAAGGAATTCTCCTGCCTCAGCCTCCTGAGTAGCTGGGACTACAGGCACCTACCACTATGCCCGGCTAAGTTTTTTTGTAGTTTTAGTAAAGACGGTGTTTCACTGTGTTAGCCAGGATGGTCTCAGTCTCCTGACCTTGTGATCTACCCGCCTTGGCCTCCCAAAGTGCTGGGATTACAGGCGTGAGCCACCGCGCCCAGCCAACCGTTTGAATTTCTTAGTGTCTATATTAGTTAAAACAAAAGTAATTTTTTAAATGTAACCATTTATAATTCTGACTCTCCCAGGAAGGAGCTAAAAGCTTTCTTTCTTTTCTTTTTCTTTTTCTTTTCTTTTTTTCTTTTTCTTTTTTTTTTTTGAGACGATGTCTTCCTCTGTCACTCAGGCTGGAGTGCAATGGCACCATCTTGGCTCACTGCAACCTCCGCCTCCTGGGTTCAAGCAATTTTCCTGCCTCAGCCTCCTGAGTAGCTGGGACTACAGGCACCTCCCACCCCACCCAGCTAATTTTTGTATTATTAAAAAATATGATATGTTGGTCAGGCTGGTGTCAAACCCCTGACCTCAAGTGATCTGCCTGCCTCAGCCTCCCAAAGTGCTGGGATTACAGGCATGAGCCGCTGCACCCAGCCTTTTTTCCTTTTTTCTTTTTCTTTTCTTTCTTCTTCTTTTTTTTTTTTTTTTGAGAGGAGTTTCACTTTTGTTGCACAGGCTGAAGTACAATGTTGAGGTCTCAGCTCACTGCAACCTCTCCACTTCCCTGGTTCAAGTGATTCTCCTGCCTCAGCCTCCTAAGTAGCTGAGATTACAGGCATGCACCACCACGCCCAGCTAATTTTTTGTATTTCAGAGAGACGGGGTTTCACTGTGTTGGTCAGACTAGTCTCAAACTCCTGACCTCAGGTGTTCCGCCCACCTCAGCCTCCCAAAGTGCTGGGATAACAGGCATGTGCCAGCACCCCTGGCCTTTTATTTATTTATTTTTGAGACAATATCTCACTCTGTCACCCAGGTTGGAGTGCAGTGGTGTGATCACAGCTCACTGCAGTCTCGATCTCCCAAGGCTCGGGTGATCCTCCTCTCTCAATCCCCTTAGTAGCTGGAACTACAGGTGCATGCGACCATGTCCAGCTAATTTTTGTATATTTATTTATTTATTTTATTTTATTTTTGAGATGGAGTCTCACTCTATTGCCCAGGCTGGAGTGAGTGGCGCGATCTCGGCTCACTGCAACCTCTGCCTCCCAGGTTCAAGCGATTCTCCTGCCTTAGCCTCCTGAGTAGCTGATATTACAGGTGCACACCACCACACCCGGCTAATATTTGTATTTTTAGTAGAGACAAAGTTTCACCATGTTGGACAGGCTGGTCTCAAACTCCTGACCTCAAGTGATGTGCCTGCCTCAGTTTCCCAAAATAGTAGGATTACAGGCATGAGCCACTGTGCCTGGCAGCTATAAGCATCTTGATAGTACAGCTTATACCATTTATACTTATCTCTGGATCTCCCATCATACAGCAGAGTACCTTCTACATAACTGGCATTCTGAAAATATCTGTTAAATGGATGGGGAAAAAAGTCCACCCAAGTGAATGCACTCCATTAGAAGCCAAAGAGAGTCCCAGGCTTCAAATCAAATAATTCTAAATTCAAACCCATCTCTGGCTGGTCACACAGCACTAAGAGGGGCAGTCACTTGGATCTATCTGAGCCCCCTTTCTTTATCTGTAAAATAGGGCTTTATCTACTACTGTTTTAGAGTTGTTTCGAGGATTAATTCAGAGAAGACATGCTTAATATTGCAAATTACCTTCCTTTTAATTAAAAGCGTTCACAGCGAGGAAAAACAGGCAACTGACCACCACAAGCTGCACCGCTGGAGAGCATGGGAGGAGGTACACAGTGGGTTGTCATTAGTATGGACAATGCATTTTTTTCAGCACTAAAGAAATTGGACAAAATAAGATGAAAAGAGAGTCTCAGCCCAAAGGCAGAAAGATACAATGGTCTTTATCTGCTAGTTATACAAACCAGCTGTTTAGATTGAAAAGATTTTGCTCAATCACTAAATATAATACATAAGTGATGGAAAAAAATAATGAATTTTTGTTTTTTACCATCTATATTGTCCTAGAGTTGTCGTAGAATTTTTTTTTCTTTTTTGAGATGGGGTCTCGCTATGTTGGTCTTGAACATGTGGTCCCAAGTGATTCTCCTGCCTTGCTCTCCCAAAATGCTGAGATTACAGGTGTGAACCACCATTCCCGGTATAATTTTTTTTTGATCAAGGAATACAAATACCACTGATGGGACTCAAGGTGATTTGATGTGGTACACAGGGAAATATTTATTATTTTAATTGTTATGCATTTATTATTTATGCTTTACAAAACATTGAGCTAGCATATCCAAACTGCAATATTACACATATTATTATTAAATATGCTTTAAAGTTTCAAAATATTTTTTAAATATGTGGATTTAAAGAAAAATATTATCATAATATGACTAATCAACACACCTGTGCCAAAAAACTGAACATAGTTCTAGGATCACGGAAGTGGTGGAAAAGACAGCTTTAACATGTGGGTCTTTTTTTTTTTTTTTTGAGACGGAGTCTCGCTCTGTCGCCCAGGCTGGAGTACAGTGGCGGGATCTCCGCTCACTGCAAGCTCCGCCTCCCGGGTTCACGCCATTCTCCTGCCTCAGTCTCCAGAGTAGCTGGGACTACAGGCGCCCGCCACCGTGCCCGGCTAATTTTTTGTATTTTTAGTAGAGACGGGGTTTCACCGTGCTAGCCAGGATGGTCTCGATCTCCTGACTTCGTGATCCACCCGCCTCGGCCTCCCAAAGTGCTGGGATTACAGGCGTGAGCCACCGCGCCCAGCCAACATGTGGGTCTTGAGCAACTATTTGATTTAAGAGAAGTTGTGACCCTGGGCCCCTCCATTTCTGTTTCCAAATGTCTTTTCAAAAGATTTACTTATTCTACCTACACACTCTATGCTGGCCCCCCCTGGATTTTATCCTGGTCCACCTGCATACCCTATACTCTCCCATCTCCGTGGCTTATTTGTGCTGAATTTTTTGCCTGGACACCCCTCCTCTTCCCTATCTGCCAGGCGCACCCCAAGCAGAACCAATCCCCTGTGCCCTCTGGGCTCCTAGGCGTCCTTGCACACCCCTCTTGCTAGTATCACCTTGGCACCTTGTATTACAGTTTCTTTCAGGGTGTGTCTCCTAGGCAATGTCTTGTTTATCTCTGTGCCCTGAGTTCCTAGCTGGGGGCGTTACATGATTTTAAAAAAATCATGGAGACCATATTAGATTTAGAAATACAAGGGTACAAATGCTTGTCTTAATCATTTATCAGCACTCAGAGATCACAGAGAGAACATGACTTTCCTCTTCCCAGTACTCTCCTTATTAACCCTAACTAGGTTAGTTTTCCCTATGATAAGCTTTGCTACACTGTGCATCCTCCCTCAAAGCAGTGATTGCAGTCTGGTTTTGCTTTTGTGATTATTTGATTAATGTCTTTCTTCTGACAGTAGACTATAAGCTCCTTGTGAGTAGGGATCACATCTATCTTTGTTCGCCATTGATGTTCCGAATGCCCAACCCTGAGCCAGACACATAGCTCGTGCTCCCCAAATATCACACACGTGCGCACGCACACACACACACACACACACACACCCAGAGTTGGTCTTCTAGCTCTTACATTGTTGTAGAGATCATTGCGGAGGCAGATGGTTGAACACAGAGACCTGTGTAAACTTTCCTGTTTGTTTTTCAGGTGGATTACAGTGGAAACACGATGTTGGCCAACCAGAAAGGGAGAAATTCAAAATGGTAAACGGAGCACTCTCACTTGCAGGGCTCTCTGAAGCCTTGACAAACAACACAGAGCCAAAATAAATTTTTTAAAAGTATATCCCAGCAAAGGCATATTGACCTTGTCCTTTCAAGAATTTCCCCAACCATTAGGAAGAAAACCCTTAAGGATGGAAATTTGAAGGGGACTGAGGCAACCAGGTAATATATTATATACGCTGACAGCTTCTTAGAACTGGGAGAACACTGAGACAACGGAAACAAAGGAGAAGCAATCTGTGTTATACTAAAATAAAGGCAAAGCCACTCTAAGAACTGCTTTTGTTTAAGCAGACAACAGATTTTTTTTTTTTTTTTAAGGATCAAAGCTACTTTACAAGCTCAATTTTCAGAAGAGTTGCAAGAAGAGCTAAGGAGATAGAATGTCTCAGCCTTGAGAGCCAGCTCGTCCACTGCTCTTTACCTTTCTAATGTGAGAATATCTAGACCGGGCCACTGCTCATGCCTATAATCCCAGCACTTTGGGAGGCCGAGATGGAAGGATCATTTAAGTCCAGGAAGAAAACATTTTAATAGAATATCTAGGCGAAAGCCTTCCACCCCAAATCAAGAACTGACCTAGCCATCCTCATGAATCCTGACACTCTGGAGCCACAAAGACTGCCTTCTCTCCCTCCTCTTGCTACAAATAAAGAGCTTAGCCATGATGGGCTATGTCACAACCACACTTTCAGGAAGGTCCAGAGCTGAGATTAAGTATCCCCCACCTGTCCTGTGTCTAGGTATGAGAGTCAGCACCTTTTATATGTTGGGTCCAAGTGCACAAATGACTATCTTTCTTTTTTGAGACAGTCTCGCTCTGTCACCCAGGCTGGAGTGCAGTGGCGCGGTCTTGGCTCGCTGCAACCTTGGAGGCCTCCTGAGTTGAAGAGATTCTCCTGCCACAGCCTCCCAAGTAGCTGGGATTACATGCACCCGCCACCACGCCCAGCTAATTTTTGTATTTTTAGTAGAGACAGGGTTTCACCATGTTGGCCAGGCTGGTCTCGAAACTCCTCACCTCAGGTGATCCACCCGCCTGGGCCTCCCAAAGTGCTGGGATTACAGACGTCAGCCACTGCACCCTGCCAAGAGTGACAATTTTAACGTTGTATTGGATTTGTGTATGAGAGCCTCAATCCATTCTGCATACTGTGTCTCTACAGTGAAGTCACAGCCTCAAAGGTGTACTTAATCTTTGTCTGAGAGTCACCAACCCACCTGTGGACTTTAATCACATATCAAAGTCAATTTTTGAACTTTCTTTTTTTTTTTTTTTTGAGATAGAGTCTTGCTCTGTCACCCAGGCTAGAGTGCAGTGGCGCCATCTCAGCTCACTGCAACCTCTGCCTCCCAAGTTCAAGTGATTCTCCTGCCTCAGCCTCCTGAGTAGCTGGGATTACAACCATGTGCCACCACACCGGCTAATTTTGTTTTTTCTTGTATTTTTAGTAGAGACAGGGTTTCACCATGTCGGTCAGGCTGGTCTGGAACTCCTGACCTCATGATCCGCCCACCTTGGCCTCCCAAAGTGCCAGGATTACAGGCGTGAGCCACCATGCCTGGCCACGAGTGACAATCTTAACGGTGGATTGGATTTGCGTATGAGAGCCTCAATCCATTCTGCACACTGTGTCTCTATAGTGAAGTCACAGCCTCAAAAGTCTACTTAATCTTTGTCTGAGAGTCACCAAACCACCTATGGACTTTAATCACATATCAAAGTCAATTTTCAGCTTTCATCTGCCTTCGTGTAGAAGATTCAGAACCTCAACAGGTTCTGAACAGAGCAAACAGCAGACCTAAGCCTCCAAGTGTGTGGTAGCCAAGCTCAGACTAGAGCCCAGGCCTTCCACCTCCGCAGCCAGGCCCTGTCCCTGCCTAGCCTGCTCTGTGGCTAGACAAGACCAAACGTTAAGCCTCTACCTCCCCACAACCAGCATGCCAGGCAAAGCTGACTGGCTGCAAGCTTCGCCTTCAGATCAACCGTTTTCACTCCACATACGCTCTTCTATGGTTTATTATCTCTTAGTGGCTTTTCATCCCCACAGGCATTCCTGAGAAATCTGCAAATAGTAGCAACTTGGAAAACAAGTAGTGAGTCTGTTGGTACTATCTTTTCTTCAATATTAACTTGTTTACAGGCAGCCTAAACGGATTGTGCTGCATTGGTCTTGAACACCAAGACAACAGTATTTTGGCTGGCCCCAAGCTCTTTGAGGGCAAGAACTATGTCTGATTTATTGGTGAGACCCTGGTGCCAAGGTACCTGTCTGGCTTATAGTAGGATAACAAAATAAGAGGCTGTCCGAAACTCACACAAAATTTGAAATTGAAGCCAGGGAGAACTGGGTGAGAATCCTTAAGCAGAAGGTTACAAAGTTACCTAATCTCTGTGGGCCTCAATTATTCTCATAATTATTCTCATATAAAATAAAACAGGCATTCAGGCGCGGTGGCTCATGCCTGTAATCCCAGCACTTTGGGAGGGCGAGGCGGGCGGATCATGAGGTGAAGCATTTGAGACCAGCCTGACCAACATGGTGAAACCCCCATCTCTACTAAAAATACAAAAATTAGCCGGGTGTGGTGGCACATGCCTGTAATCCCAGCTACTCAGAAGGCTGAGGCAGGAGAATTGCTTGAACCTGAGAGGCGGAGGTTGCAGTGAGCCGAGATCGTGCCACTGCACTCTAGCCTGAGCGACAGAGCGAGACTCCATCTCAGAAAAATAAATAAAATAAAATAAAATAATACAGGCCAGGTGCAGTGGCTCACACCTGTAATAGCACTTTAGGAGGCCTAGGCAGGAGGACTGCTTGAAGCTAGGAGTTTGAGACTAGCCTGGGAAACAAAGCAAGACTCTGCCTCTACAAAAAATTGAAAAATTAGCCAGGCATGGTGGCACGCACCTGTAGTCCCAGCTACTTGGGAGGCTGAGGTGGGGGGATCCCTTGAGTCCAAGAATTTGAGGTTACAATGAGCTATGATTGTGCCCACTGTGCTCCAGCCTGGGCAACAGAGCAAGACCCTGCCTCTTAAAAATAAAATAAATAGGCTGGGCACGGTGGCTCACACCTGTAATCCCAGCACTTCAGGAGGCTGAGGCGTCTGAGACCAGCCTGACCAACACGGTGAAACCCCGTCGCTACTAAATACAAAATTAGCTGGGCATGGTGGCGTGTGCCTGTAATCCCAGCTACTCAGGAGGCTGAGGCAGGAGAATCGCTTGAACCCAGGAGGAGGGGGTTGCAGTGAGCTAAGATCACACCACTGCACCCAGCCTGGGCAACAGAGCAAGATTCTGTCTCAAAAAATAATAATAATAAAATAAAATAAACAGGCCAGGTGCGGTGGCTCATGCCTGTAATCCCAGCACTTTGGGAGGCAGATCACCTGAGGTCAGGAGTTCAAGACCAGCATGGCCAACGTGGCGAAACCCTGTCTCTACTAAAAAATACGAAAATTAGCTGGGTGTGGTGGTGGGCACCTGTAGTCCCAGCTACTCAGGAGGCTGAGGCAGGGAGAATTGCTTGAACCCGGGAGACGGAGGTTGCAGTGAGCCGAGATTGTGCCACTGCACTCCAGCCTGGGCAACAGAGTGAGACTCCGTCTCAAAAATAAATAAATAAAAATAAAAATAAAATAAATAATAAATAAAAGTAAATAAAGTCCAGGCGCAACGGCTCCTGCCTGTCATCCCAGCACTTTGGGAGGCCGAGGTGGGCGGATTGTCTGAGCTCAGGAGTTTGAGACCAGCCTGAGCAACACGGTGAAACCCCGTCCGTCTCTACTAAAACACAAAAACTTAGCCAGGTGTGGCAGCATGCACCTGTAGTCCCAGCTACTCGGGAGGCTGAGGCAGGAGAATCGCTTGAACCCAGGATGTAGAGTTCGCACAGTGAGCTGAGATTGCGCCATTGCACTCCAGCCTGGGCAACAGAGCAAGACTCCATCTCCAAAAAAAAGGAAATAAAATAAAATAATACAAATACCACCTACCTTATAGAATTGCTATGAGAACAGAATGAGATAACAATGTATATGGAGCACCAGGCAAAGTCATAGCCCTGACAATGACCATGTCCCCCGTCAATGTTAATGCAATGAAAGGATGAAGTCAAAGTCAGAGTTGTTCTTTTCTAGGAGACGAGCAAGAAATAAAAAGAAGCAACGAATGCAATTACCCAGCCTGTGAGTGGTCAGTGTTTCTTTTGCTACTTGTTGTCTGAGCTTACAGCCTTCTTTTAAAGCTGGTCCTGCCTCGTCTCCCAGCTTTTGCTTCATCTTTCTGTGAAGTCATAACTCTGGGCTGACTCTGTCTATTGACACAGAGAGGCTGTGAGTCACAAATTCAACAGGATGACTTTGCTGCAGGGTGATTGACTGGAAAATGTTCCCTCATCTGAAAAAATCTTTTTTTCAAGCAAATGGACATGCTTATTTTTGCAGCATGGAGTGCAGGCTCTTTATTTATTTGATATTGGTTTCTTGACATTCAAGTTGACCAAGGGAGGGCTCACGATAGTCATAATTTTGCCTTGTGAAGTGATATATACTTTCCCCCTCCCTCCCCTTCTCCCTTCCTGCTGACTATTATATCTAAAACAAACAGTCCCAGCACAATAGTTAGATTGCACTTGAATTTGGTGTTTACTTGACATTTACACACTGGCCATGCTGGACAGCTCAGTCATTCCAGAACAGGGCCCGGCCAGCAAGGATTGTGTTCTCCTTGTGCTCAACCCTGAGCAGGACAAGATCCTGAGACAGCTAGACAGCGTCTTGAGAAAGTGTTTTTGCTGACTCTTATGCCTGAATTACTCTTACACCTGAGTAAGTGTATGTTAGGGGAGAGGAGGGTATCAGAATGTCTTCAGTCTTGCCAGAAAATCTCTCCCTTACCCACGTGGGGCAAACTGGTGGTACCACTCTGCCTCTTCTTAAATCCAACTCGAACACTGCCCAGTGCTAAATCTCCTCAGGACTGGCTGGAGATTACTAATTTGATCAATTTCATCTCCAGTTCTTTCATTTCCTCCTCTGTGTGATAGAATTAATAAACTTTAGGCCAGGCACAGTGAATCACGCCTGTGATCTCAGCACTTTGGGAGGCTGAGGTAGAAGGATTGCTTGAGGCCAGGAGTTTGAGACCAGCCTGAGCAACACTGCGAGACCCCATCTCTACAAAAAACTTTTTGAAAGTAGCCAGGCTTAATGGTGGCTTCCTGAAGTCCTAGTTGCTCAGGAAGCTGAAAGGGGAGGATCACTTGAGCCTAGGTATTTGAGGTTGCAGTGAGCTATGATCATGCCACTGCACTCCAGCCTAGGCAATGGAGTGAGACCTTGACTCTAAAAATTAATAAAATAATAATAATAATACCTACTTTGCAGGATTATTTTGGGTATAACATATGCAAAGTATATGGGGAAGTTTCAGGCTTTTTAAAGGTTCTCTAAAAGTGTTGGTTCTCGGCTGGGCGCGGTGGCTCACGCCTGTAATCCCAGCACTTTGGGAGGCCAAGGCGGGTGGATCACGAGGTCAGGAGTTTGAGACCAGCCTGGCCAACACAGTGAAACCCTGTCTCTACTAAAAATACAAAAAATTAGCCGGGCATGGTGGCGGGCGCCTGTAATCCCAGCTGCTCAGGAGGCTGAGGCAAGAGAATGGCTTGAACCCAGGAGGCGGAGGTTGCAGTGAGACGACATTGTGCCATTGTACTCCAGACTGGGTGACAGAGAGAGACTCCGTTTCAAAAAAAAAAAAAGTTGGTTTTCACCCTCTTCTGAGGTCCATGCTTCTGGTTTCAAAAGGTAGATGGGCTCATAAAAGTAAAGTGTCAGGGCCAGGTGCGGTGGCTCACGCCGGTAATCCCAACAGTTTGCGGAAGCTGAGGCAGGTGGATCACCTGAGGTCAGGAGTTCCAGACTACAGGGTGCCTGTAATCTCAGCTATTAGGGAGGCTGAGGCAGGAGAATTGCTTGAACTCGGGCAATAGAGGTTGCAGTGAGCCGAGACAAAGCCACCACACTCCAGCCTTGGCGATAGAGACTCTGTCTCAAAAAAAAAAATCAATAAATCAATACATGTGTATTTTAAATAAAATCCGCAGCCTGCCTCTCCAGATATGACCACAATTCAGTTTGAAGTATAAGTCTTCACATTTTTTATACATATGTGAAAATAATAAAATTTATTTATTTATTTATTTACATAGGGCCTTGCTTTGTTGCCTGGGTTGGACTGTAGTGGCATGCTCATGGCTCACTGCAGCCTCGACCTCCTGGGTTCAAGTGGTCCTCCCACCTCAATCTCCTGAGTAGCTGGGACCACAGGTTCTTGCCATCACATCTGGTTCATTACTTTTTGTAGAGATGAGTTCTCACTATGTTACCCACACTGGTCTGGAACTCCTGAACTCAAGGGATCCTCCCACCTTGGCCTCTCAAAGTGCTGGGATTACAGTTATGTGCCACCATGTCCAGCCCAATCTCCTTTCGATGGACATTTAGATTGTTTCCAACTTTTCATTACTACAGAATTTCCATGTGTACTCTTATTCACTTATTTCCTTAGGCTCAATTCATAGAAATTGATTTACATTTCAACCATTTCAAATTGTTCCTCAAAAAATTTACATCAGTTTACATTCTCATCAGCAAGATATCAACATGTTGGTTTCCTTACGTACTAACCAGTACCGAATATTATGATCTTAATCTTTCAAATGTTAACATCTACATAATCAGCTTTTGGCTGGTGAAACTTTCATGGCAGTTAGTTTGCACTTCCTTGAAACTCTGAAGATATGGAAATTGTACATTATTAGAATATAATTGGAAGCCTCCACTTTGCACAGATGAAAGGGGCCTAGGGAACAGAGGTAACTTACCCATGCCACACATTGGCAGAGCTGGGACAAGAAAACACAAGTCCTAACTCCTAGTCAAGTCCAAGCCTCCTTCCCTGCATCAGACAGCAATGACACAGGAAACCCTGACACATCACTTCTTTTTTTTTTTTTTTGAGACAGTTTCGCTCTTGTCGCCCAGACTGGGGTGCAATGGCATGATCTTGGCTCACCGGGTTCTAACGATTCTTCTGCCTCAGGCTCCCAAGTAGTTGGGATTACAGGTGCCCACCACCATGCCCGGCTTAATTTTTGTATTTTTAGTAGAGACGGAGTTTCACCATGTTGGCCAGGTTGGTCTCGAACTCCTGACCTCATGATCCACCTGTCTTGGCCTCCTAAAGTGCTGGGATTACAGGCGTGAGCGACCATGCCCAGCCGTATTGATTTATTTTTTTTAAAATAAGCACGCATTTTGAAACCAGAAAAAAAAATGTACATTTAAAAAATGAAATAACAGACCGGGTGCGGTGGCTCATGCCCGTAATCCTAGCACTTTGGGAGGCCAAGGCGGGCGGATTGTATGAGCTCAGGAGTTCGAGACCAGCCTGGCCAACATATAGTGAAACCCCGTCTCTGCTAAAAAATGCAAAAATTAGTTGGGCGCGCCAGGTGCAGTGGCTCACGCCTGTAATCCCAGCACTTTGGGAGGCCAAGGCGGGCGGATCACCTGAGGTTGGGAGTTTGAGACCAGCCTAACCAACATGGAGAAACCCCGTCTCTACTAAAAATACAAAAAAATTAGCCGGGCATGGTGGCCCATGCTTGTAATCCCAGCTATTCTGGAGGCTGAGGCAGAAGAATCGCTTGAACCCAGGAGGCAGAGGTTGCGGTGAGCCGAGATCAAGCCATTGCACTCCAACCTGGGCAACAAAAGTGAAACTCTTTCTCAAAACAAACAAACAAACAAACAAACAAAAAAATTAGCTGGGCATGGCGGCACATGCCTGTAGTCCCAGCTACTTGGGAAGCTGAGGAAGAAGAATCACTTGAACCCGGGAGGCGGAGGTTGTAGTGAGTCGAGATCGTGCCACTGCACTCCAGCCTAAGCGACAGAGTGAGACTCCCTCTCAAAAAAAAAAAAAAAAAAATTAGCCAGGCATGGTGGCGCGTGCCTGTAATTTCAGCTATGAGCGAAGCTGAGGCAGGAGAATTGCTTGAACCTGGGAGGTGGAGGTTGCAGCGAGCTGAGCTCATGCCACTGCACTCTAGCCTGGGCGACAGAGTGAGACTCCATCTCAAATAAATAAATAAAATTATATATATATATATATCTCAAGCAGTTACACAATCCATCCATCCATCCACCCATACGTACATACAGGCCCCAAGATTCCTCACTAGCCCTGTTCAGCTGGGTGACTGCTTTTCCCCCAGCCTGGACAGAAGGTTAGAGGTTTACTCTCTGGGGAACTCGATCCAGGGGCTCTGAACTCAGAGAAGCCAGGCACAGCTGAGGATAGGTTACTCAGAGAGCAGTCATACAGCAGGCTTCCTCCTCTGGGTGGGCTCCAGGAGACACTGGCTAACTCCCTTACTTAGCTGCACAATCCTGGGCTGGATTTAAGCACTCTATACTGCAGTTTATTTGGTTGTTTTTATTTTATTTTTATTTTTATTAATTTATTTTTTTGAGATGGAGTCTCCCTCTGTCACCCAGGCTGAAGTGCAGTGGCATGACCTTGGCTCGATGCAGCCTCCGCCTCCCAGGTTCAAGCGATTCTCTGCCTCAATCCCAAGTAGCTGGGATTATAGGTGCACACCATCACGCCCGGCTAATTTTGTTCGTTTTGTTTTGTTTTGAGAAGGAGTTTCGCTCTTGTTGCCCAGGCTGGAGTGCAATGGCGCGATCTCAGCCCACTGCAACCTCCGCCTCCTGGGTTCAAGTGATTCTTCTGCCTCAGCCTCCTGAGTTGCTGGGATTAGAGGCGCCCGCCGCCATGCCCAGCTAATTTTTTGTATTTTTAGTAGAGACAGGGTTTCACCATGTTGACCAGGCTGGTCGCAAACTCCTGACCTCAGGCGATCTACCCACTTCGGCCTTCCAAAGTGCTGGGATTACAGGCATGAGCTACCATGCCTAGCTAATATTGCAGTTTTTTTAAAACTGTAAAATGGGGTTTATGTATTAAACAAGTATGTATTGAGCACCTATTATGTGCCAGCAAACTGTATTACATTCTGTAATAAAAATAAGTCAGTTACTTCCTGCTGACAGGTCAAAAAAAAAAAAGTAAGTCAGCCAGGTGAGGTGGCCCACGCCTGTAACCCCAGCACTTTGGGAGGCTGAGGCAAGAGGATTGCTTGAGCCCAGGAGTTCAAGACCAACCTAGGCAACACAGTGAGACCCTGTCTCTACAAAAAAATTTAAAAATAAGCTGGGTGTGGTAGTACATGTCTGTGGTCCCAGCTACTAAGCATGGTGAGATAGGAGGATTGCTTGAGCCAGGGAGTTCGAGGCTGCAGTGAGCCATCATTGCGCCACTGCACTCCAGCCTGGCTAACAGAGCAAGACCTTATCTCAAGCAACAAAACAAAATAAAACAAAAACTTATGATTAAAAAGAAAGTAATGGCTGGTCACAGTGGCTCACGCCTGTAATCCCAACACTTTGGGAGGCTGAGGCAGGGGGATCACCTGAGGTCAGGAGTTTGAGACCAGGCTGACCAACATGGTAAAACACTGTCTCTACTAAAAATACAAAAATTAGTCGGGATGGGCCGGGCGCGGTGGCTCACGCCTGTAATCCCAGCACTTTGGGAGGCCGAGGCGGGCGGATCACGAGGTCAGGAGATCGAGACCATCCCGGCTAAAACGGTGAAACCCCGTCTCTACTAAAAATACAAAAAAATTAGCGGGGCGTAGTGGCGGGCGCCTGTGGTCCCAGCTACTTGGGAGGCTGAGGCAGGAGAATGGCGTGAACCCGGGAGGCGGAGCTTGCAGTGAGCCGAGATCCCGCCACTGCACTCCAGCCTGGGCGACAGAGCGAGACTCCGTCTCAAAAAAAAAAAAAAAAAAAAAAAAAAAAAATTAGTCGGGCATGGTGGCATGCGCCTGTAATCTCAGCTACCCAGGAGGCTGAGGCAGGAGAATCACTGGAACCCGAGGGGCAGAGGCTGCAGTGAGCCGAGATTGCGCCACTGCACTCTAGCCTGGGCTACAGAGCAAGACTCTGTCTCAAAAAAAAAAAAAAAATTAGCTGGGCAGGGTGGCGCGTCCTCTAGTCCCGGCTACTCAAGAGGCTGAGGCGGGAGAACCGCTTGAACCTGGGAGGCAGAGGTTGCTGTGAGCCGAGATCACACCACTACACTCCAGCCTGGGCAACAAGAGTGAGACTCTGTCTCAAAATAATAATAATAATAAATAAAAATAACATAAAAAATAAAAAGAAAGTCATACAACTGTGATATATCAGTTTTTAAAATATACACACACAAAAAGAGTATATTTTAAAATATACACACACAGGCAGCGTCTCTGCCCCCTGAAGCCTGCATTCTAGCAGCAATGGCAGCACCAACCTCAGAGAAGTAATGTGAAGACAAGTAACTTAATGCATGAAAGTACTTATCGCAGTTACCTGGTACAGCGTCTGAGAGCAGTGATGTTAATGAATTTGAAGGTCCCTGCTCCCTCCTTTTCCTGGAGGGAGAACCCAGCAGACCCTTTCAGTACCCTTCTAGGAAAGACAAGGTTAGAACTTTGCTAACACTGTCAATGACTATAGAATTCTTCAATGTTGAATTTGACTTTGAAATTATCTTTCGTCCAACCTAACTCTTGACTGGCTTATCAAGGGTCAAGGTCACTGTCTTTAGGGATTTGACATAGCCACAAAAGGCCTTTGCAAGTCATGGAGTGACCCTAGGAAGTGAGATTCCCAGGTTAATGTATACCTTCCCTACTTAAAACAGTGTCTTTGTGAGATTTTCTGTGAGCCTGGTCTTTGGTTGTGGATCTGTAGTGACACTGAAATATTTTGGGGAAAGAAAATACTGTGACAAAGCATTTCACTCTTCAAACCAAGATATTATATCATCTTCCAGTGCTGAATACTGCAGGACCAATTTGAAGTTATCAAAGGGGGATTAACTGTGTAAGGTTTCACTGGTAGAGGGGACACACTAACATTAATGCCAGTATCTCACTTAATGCTCACACTGGCCTTGGAAGCAGGTACATTCGTAGACCCATTTTGCAGACAAGGAAAGTACAGTGCAACTAGATGATGTAGCTTGTCCAAGGTCACCTGGCTTGTAAGATGCAACTCAGGGCCTGGAGTCCAAACCCTTGCGTGGCAGATCCTACCTATGCCCCCAGAGTCTGTGCACTATTCATCCCTGTCATTTCTTCTCCCACAGCCCAGAGAATTCTGTCAAGTTCTCCTCCTTAATTGAGTTACGGCAAGATGGCTCTAAGAATTAAAGTCAGACAAGGACACTCTAATCTGCACTCAGATAGACCAAAGATATTGTCTTGTCTTTAAAGAAACCCAAATGAGCTTCTTTTCAAATGGAAAACTGAGTTTGCTGAATGAAACATCAGAACATTGAAATTCAACACTTTGCTCTGAGAACTGTTAGGTAAATGTAGCAACCAGAAAAATTCATCAATAACTGACACCATAGACCAAGTTCACTCTTTCACTAGATTACCTTTTTTATTATCAATGATAATGCTGGGAATTCTTCTAAGATTAGGTAACTATTCCAGGGGCTTCCCCCTTTAAGAAGCTTCTGGTCATCCCTGGATATAAGAGGAGTTTGCATCTAGATTCGAGTTTGAATAAGGCATCACACACTGTATGAGATATTTAGTTGCTGCCAGAACATTCGTTTGGCTTTTTTTTTTTTTTTTTTCCTCCACATTGGCACTCGCTAGCCCCCTTCCCACTAGCCAGGACATTAAAATTGATTAACAAACACAATGTTTGTGAAAAAAAAGTCAACTACAGGGTAATAAAATGCATTCTTAATTTTTTTTTAAATCATTTCCCTGGCTCAAAGTACATAATTTCAAATTGGCAAAAATAAGCTCCCCTCTTGTCCAGCCCACAAACTGAAAGAGAATTAAACACAGAATTGTTTTTTTCTTGTTTGCATTTCTCAGGGTGTGAAGCATTCATTTTTGTACCTTCAACATTCCTACATTTTCCATAAAACAAAAATGTTACCTCCAATCCAATCTAAACCTAGGGACTTTGTTTTCCTCAGAAGAACGACGTTGTCTTAGTCTAAGAATCTGAGGCACTGAGGCTTTTAAATAAAGGAAGTAGACTCTTGGTTCTCTTTTCAGAGATAATTCTCCCCCAGGGGAAGCAGGCAAAACTTGGTGAACCAAGTGAAGAAGAAAATTCCAGCAACAGGTTTTTCTCTGCCCACTGACTTCTTTGCTGGTTCATTTAAGTACTTTTATTCTTTCATTAAAATTTAAATACTTTTAAAATTTGCTAGTTCATTTACTTTTAAATGTGTTTCAAATGCATATAGTATTGGAGTCATGCTCTACGAAGATGGTAAATGCTAGCCTGCAATTTCTTTTATTAAGGAAAATATTACTGAGATGCCCCTCACTCTTACAAAATGTTTTGTTAAGGGAAATACTACTGAGATGTACCTCACTCTTACAAAATATTTCTTTTTTTATTTTTGAGGCGGAGTCTTGCTCTGTTGCCCAGGCTGGAGTGCAGTGGTGCGATCTTGGCTCACTGCAACCTCCGTCTCCTGGGTTCAAGCTGTTCTCTTGACTCAGCTTCCCAAGTAACTGGGACTACAGGCATGCGCCACCACGCCCAGCTAATTTTTGTATTTTTTAGTAGAGATGGGGTTTCGCTATATGTTGGCCAGTCTGGTCTTGAACTCCTGACCTTGTGATTCACCCACCTCGGTCTCCCAAAGTGTTGAGATTACAGGTGTGAGCCATTAAAAAATATTTCTCTCTGCTTAAACAGACATTTAAAAATAAGCAACCTGGCCGGGTGTGGTGACTCATTTATTTATTAAAAAATAAATAAATACATAAATAAATAAAGTAAAAAAAATCAGCAACCTAAAAAGAGGGATTTTTTTTGTATCCTTTTTAATATCTCAGAACAAGTTGAGGACACTGAAAAGCTGAATTTAATATATTGCAGTCAGAATATTTCAAAAGTCTTGAAAATAATTTCATTAATTTTAGATTTTATTTTTAAATAGCTTAAAGGATGTATTGGGCCTAAGTTTTTTGAGCTAAGAATGTAACTTAAGTGATCAAACCTAAGGGTTCACGAAAAAGATTCTAATGAAATTTCTGAGAATTGATTTTTAAATGTCTGTGATTCATTTTCTGCTCTAAAAACTTCAACCCTTAAGGTTTGGGTTTTGAAAGGCAATGAATTTGGCTGCAGAAAAGAGTGGACTCTTTCTCCATTTGGTTTTGGTTTGGATTTTGGTTATTTTTGTTTGTGTTTTCAAGTTTGTTTTATTACAATGCCTTGGCCAGCACTGTTCTATTACTTTGTCCAACTGTTTTTGAGAGTACAGAGTTATGAAGGATTTTATTTCCTTCATAACTTTCTTTGAAAAGTTTTCCTTCATAGAACTTTTCAAAGAAAGAGATGAAGTGGTGAAGAAAGAGAAGGGATGGAAAATGAAGTACCAAACCAATGACCCTCTCAACTAGAGAGAAATGCTATTGACAAGGACCAGGTCCCCTGACTCCCTCCCTGCCTCTACCCCATTAATAGTTTACCAAGTCAGTTTTGCTCTCTTCATTCATTCTACAATTAATGGTCATTGGGCATTTGTCCTGAAGATGCCATAGGGGAACAGGAGCTACAAACAACCAGATCATGCAAGTCCACTGGGTAAACATCCTAGCAGTCATTACACAGCTTTGTTAGAGCTCAGAGAAAAAAGGACTGGCTTAAAAGGGAACTCATAGACCAAGGAACAATTAAGAGGGACTTTTTGGAGTTTGGGTACGATGAGGGCCCTGAGGGGAGAAAGGGCATTTCAGACAGGAAAAACAGCTGATGAAAATACACATCCTGTATTCAGGGATTTGAGAGAACATCCAGTTAAGAGTTTAGAGAGGGTGAGGTCAGTCTCTAGAGAAGATTCTGGAAAGTTTGTCTAGGGCCAGAGTAGTAAGTGTTGGGTACATCAAGCCAAACAGTTTGGTTTTATTCCTCTAGGCAAAGTGGAGCTGTTGAAAGACTGGCTGGTGGGGAGGTGAGTAGAGACAGAACTGTGGTGGTCTGTTAGCAAAATGGATTAGATCTAGCTGGAGAATGCCAGTGGGGCTCTGAGGGAGGAGACAAGAGGACTATTTGGAGTGTACAGACATAATTAAATCTGTAAATGAGGCTGGGCACAGTGGCTTACGTGTGTAATCCCAGCACTTTGAGAGGTCGAGGTGGGTGGATGGCTTAAACACAGGAGTTTGAGACCAGCCTGGCCAACATGACGAAATCTCTATCAAAATAAAAAAAAAAAAAAAAGAATCAGTGCCACAAGATACTCGCTACTCGGGAGGCTAAGGTGGGAGGATCGCTTGAGCCCGGGCAGTGGAGGTTACAGTGAGCCAAGATAGTGCCATTGCACTCCAACCTGGGCAATAGAATGAGACCCGTCTCAAAACAACAACAACAACAACAAAAAGCTGTAAATGAGGCAAGCTTAAACCAAAGCAGCCCGAGAGTAGTAAAAAGATAGTGGGGATATTTAGGAATGGAAATGGCTGAGTTTTGTAGATGTCTGGATGCTCAGGTCAAAGAAAATAAGGCAGGAGTTGAAGAAAATCTAGGTTTCTGTCTTAGAAACCGGGGAGAGAATGACGAAATTTTAAATCTGGGTGTGTTGCGGTTCTTGATAAGAAAGAGGATTAATGAGTCTACAGTGGATGCTGAAAGATGAGCTTCCTGCTAATGGATTATTCAAAAAGAAAAAACACATTAAATATGCATTATTCATTCACTCAACAAACACTTACAGGGCATTACCATGTGCTAGGTAGGCACTATAATAGGACTTGGGGATATAGCAGTGAACAAAACAGTAGCCTCAGCCTCATCATGTTTATGATACCCTGGGGAATACTGATGATAGTAATAGCTACTATGTGTTGAGTGTTAAGTCTGTGCTAAATACTTTACTTTAGATTATCTGATTTGATCCTCATCACTCTAAGAAGTAGGCATTATTAATATCCCCATTTTACAGAAGAGGAAACAGGCAAAGTGCAAAGTGAGGTCAGTAACTTGCCCAGCTAGAAAGCAGCAGAGTCATGTTGGGAAACACAGAGTCAAAGCCTACTTTCCTAACCTCTAAAGTCTACACAAGACAGAGGGTAAAAAGAGGCTGGCATTCTTATGGTTTTAGGTCTAACATTTAAGTCTTTAATCCATCTTGAATTAATTTTTGTATAAGGTGTAAGGAAGGGATCCAGTTTCGGCTTTCTACATATGGCTAGCCAGTTTTCCCAGCACCGTTTATTAAATAGGGAATCCTTTCCCCATTGCTTGTTTTTGTCAGGTTTGTCAAAGATCAGATAGTTGTAGATACGCGGCATTATTTCTGAGGGCTCTGTTCTGTTCCATTGGTCTATAATGAGAACACATGGACACAGGAAGGGGAACATCACACACTGGGGACTGTTGTGGGCGGGGGGGAGGGGGGAGGGATAGCATTAGGAGATATACCTAATGCTAAATGACGAGTTAATGGGTGCAGCACACCAACATGGCACATGTATACATATGTAACAAACCTGCACGTTGTGCACATGTACCCTAGAATTTAAAGTATAATAATAATAAAATTTAAAAAAAAAAGAGGCTGGAGTTCACAAGGAGATGAGGGTGGAGACTGAGAAAAGCTTTGCCACCTTGTGAAAGCTGCAAGCTCCTTTTACAGTTATTTATTAGCAGGGATTTCATTTCAAAGCAATTCGGGTACTTAAAATCTATCTCTTGTTTTCACTTTTTTAAAAAGCAGTTTTTCAGGCAGGGCGCAGTGGCTCATGCCTGTAATCCCAGCACTTTGGGAGGCGGAGGCGGGTGGATCGCCCGAGCTCAGGAGTTGGAGACCACCCTGGGCAACATGGTGAAACCCCCATCTCTACTAAAATACAAAAAATTAGCTGGGCATGGTGGAACGCGCCTGTAGTCTCAGCTACTCTGGAGGCTGAGGCATGAGAACTGCTTCCACCTCCACCCTGGAAGTGGAGGTTGCAGTGAGCCAAGATCACGCCACTGCACTCCAGCTTGGGCTACAGAGTGAGATTCTGTCTCAAAAAAAAAAAAAAGTTTTTTTTTTTTTGAGTTTTTCTTGAGTCCTGCGGCAGTTATGCAGAGACACCCAGCCAGGGTGCAGCCAGGTCACGGGGTGCTCTATGTGTCCAGACCCCATACCCAGTTATGGGTGCTGAATCTTTCATTTGAAACATGGATGCAGCTTCTTCAGTCTATCACACCCCTCCATGGCTCCACATTAATCCCCTAGCACTAATGGTGTTCATCACATCTTCTGACAACTAATGCAGTTTGTGCTGGAAAAAAAATTATTTTATAACTCCAAGGACATTAATAATTAACTTCTAGTCCACAAAACTAGTAATATCAGTTTGCTGAAATAAAGTCACCAGTGAGTGTTTCATTCTTCTTTAAAGGGTGTCTTCTATTATTATTATTCTACAGTGCAATTTAGTCATCAAAGGTTTACTCAGCCTCATGTTTATAAATTATATAGGGCAAGGATTTAAGTCTTCTGGCCCTACCTGTTCTGAAGACAGGGAGGGCCATAACCTTGTTGTCATACAGGGCACCTGCCTTGAGAGATGATTTGTGAACTTGAAGTTTCTTGCTTCTTTTAGAAATCTGGGGTGAATATACAGATTTCCCTTTGTGACGCAATCAGAGGAATAACCAGCTAGTTGCCTGCCACGAAGAGAGACTGGCTTTTATCCTTCAGAAGGCCGGTTGGAAACAAGTTCATCTTTTTCAATCGAGTTTCAGAATCTTGTCTTGATTATGTGACATAATAATGGTGGCTTTCCAATTCTTCTGTGCAATATTGTTTTTTCATTGTGGTGGTTACAGATAGTTTTTTTTTTGAGGGGGAAGGGCTACTGCCTTAGAGAAATAAAAGTAAAGCAGAAATAATCTAGTGTGCTGCCTACCTAAGTTGGAAATTCCAAGTCCTGACCCACGTTTACATCCCAAGGGAGATGGCTGCCAATCAAGGGCTCATCCACTGTTCATCCAGGGTGAGGGACTTTGGCTTTCCTGAAAAAGTGGTGAGTTTCCCATGCAGCCCTCAAATCACAGCATCCCAAGATGTTGCCATCACAATTAAAGGAGTAGGGGAGGAAGTGGCAGGTGTCTTCCTTTTTTGGTTCCTCCGTTTGAAAAGGGCTTAAAGTAAAAATCAGAGTTAAAGTAACTGGCCTGATCCTATATAGGGGGGTGGGGTTGAACTCCTCGAGGTCATAGGAAGGAGGACCTCGGTTTCCCTGCCAAAACACTCTCATCCCCCAGCTGCAACCCTGGCAGCCCTTGGCCAGAGCCAAGCTAGAGGATGGAAGTCACACTCAAGGGCGTCCGACTCTGGATCTTAGAGGGATTCCTGGCGTTGGCAGGGAGGGCCGAGTCAATTCATTCGGGGCGAGATGCATTCCAAGAATGCTTCTGTGGTCGGCGAGGAGTGGAAAAATCAGGTATCACAAATATTCTGAGGAAACCTAATAGGTACCAGAATCGCAGGGTTCAAACAGGTGACAACGACAAAGGACATTGGCAACTAGAACTCAAAAAGGGGTGAGCGCACTCTCTGCCCGGTGCCCGAGCTTCCACCACTTTCCCCAGTGTCCCCTCTCTTCTCTTTCCTAGGTTGACACCAGCCTAAGCGCCAGCGTTCGCCGGTGAGGGGGCTCCGTGGAGAGGGGGGCGGAGTCCCGCGCCGAACGCCGGAATCCAAAGTAAACACCTCGCCAAACCTACGTTTAGAAAGTGATACCGAACACCACATTCACGTTTTAAAAAAAAATACTGTTTGCTAAGAAGATGAGAGCAAAACATTTCCCAGCTGGAAAATTACTGATCACAAACCAAGGGGAGAGTGGGGGTGGGGGAGGCAGCGTTATAAGATTGAAGTAAAGATCGCCGTTTCCTATTCCCTTCCCGGTGGGCAAGGACGCCTGCGGCGGGCTCGGTGTGCACTTTTTGAGAGCTAGGATCCCACCGCATCGCTCCACTTCCTGGCACATGGTCACTTCCCAGGGAAGTCCCTTTAGGGGGGCCTGACCTACCCGGAGCCTGAGCCGAAGGAACGAGTTGTCCTTTGACCTTTACTGGCCATTTCACCTCTTTATGACTCAATTTCTCATCCATAAAGTGGAAAGGAGAGTGCGTGGCTTGAAAAGTCATCAGTGAGTGTTTAATTCTTCTTTAATGGGTGTCTTCTATTATTATTATTATTCTACAGTGCAATTTAGTCATCAAATATTACAGGCAGTGGCTCACGCCTGTAATCCCAGCACTTCGGGAGGCCGAGGCAGGCTGATCACTTGAGGTCAGGTGTTCGAGACCTGCCTGGCCAACATGGTGAAACCCCGTCTCCACGAAAAATACAAAAATTAGCCGGCGTCGTGGCGCACGCCTGTAATCCCCGCTACTCGGGAGGCTGACGCAGGAGAATCGCTTGGACGCAGGAGGCGGAGGTTGCACTGAGCTGAGATCGTGCCACTGCATTCCAGCTTGGGCGACACAGCGAGACTCTGTCTCACAAAAAAAAAAAAAAGAAAGAAAAAAAAAGGAAAGGGCTTCGAGATGGCTGGTTGAAAACTGTCTCCGCGCCTCACAGTCCCTCTTCTCTCCCTTATGCCTCTGAGTAAATCTTGAGCCCTTTCACTCCCTTTCTCGCTATTTAAAGTATCAAAACCATAACTCCCCATTCGTGCCTCTTTCCGCCTGTTCCCGGCGGAACACTCCTCTGGCCTTCTCTTGAGGCTCCCAGTTCACGCTGCACAGTGCTGGGCACTGCCTCCTCTCCACACCCCTAGCGCCCCCCACCCCTCAGCAGAAGGGCCCGCGAGGAACCGTGCGAGGTCAGGCCGAGCGCCGGCACCGCCACCGGCACTGGCGCTGAGCGACGAGAGCGGACTCCTGCGAGCGCAGAGAGGGAGGGGGAGATGGAGGGCTGGATGAGTCACGCGGATAATCGCGCTCTTCTCCAGCGCGCAGACAGCGCGGCAAGCGCGTATGCTAGCAGGGGTGCGGACGCGTGACCGTGCCGCCCGCTGACCCCACCAGTCTTCGCGGGCTTCGAACCCAGGGAGCCGACAATGGCGGTGAGTACGGCCCTGGTCGCGCAGCGACCGAACCTGCGCCCGGTTCCTCGCGCCCCGCGCTGGGGCGGACGCCGCCGCCGCCGCCGACACCACTGCCGCCGGCGTCAGCTCGGCTCCAGCCCGCCAGCTGCCTGGCTGGCGTCACGGCCCGGCCCAGCCCCGCCCGCGCCCCTCCTTCCCCTCCCCCGCCCCCACGTGCGCCGAGTTTGTTGATTTAGCTGCCATAGCAACGATGGAAGGGAGCCTCGGGGGGGGCGGAGAGAAGAAAGGGAGGGGCGGGGCATGGGAGAAGGCGGAGGAAAAGGCTGTAGCGAAGGAAGTTATAAGTAAGGAACGCGCGCCGGCGGCCGGCAGTTTCCCGACCAGAGAGAACGAACGTGTCTGCGGGCGCGCGGGGAGCAGAGGCGGTGGCGGGCGGCGGCGGCACCGGGAGCCGCCGAGTGACCCTCCCCCGCCCCTCTGGCCCCCCACCCTCCCACCCGCCCGTGGCCCGCGCCCATGGCCGCGCGCGCTCCACACAACTCACCGGAGTCCGCGCCTTGCGCCGCCGACCAGTTCGCAGCTCCGCGCCACGGCAGCCAGTCTCACCTGGCGGCACCGCCCGCCCACCGCCCCGGCCACAGCCCCTGCGCCCACGGCAGCACTCGAGGCGACCGCGACAGTGGTGGGGGACGCTGCTGAGTGGAAGAGAGCGCAGCCCGGCCACCGGACCTACTTACTCGCCTTGCTGATTGTCTATTTTTGCGTTTACAACTTTTCTAAGAACTTTTGTATACAAAGGAACTTTTTAAAAAAGACGCTTCCAAGTTATATTTAATCCAAAGAAGAAGGATCTCGGCCAATTTGGGGTTTTGGGTTTTGGCTTCGTTTCTTCTCTTCGTTGACTTTGGGGTTCAGGTGCCCCAGCTGCTTCGGGCTGCCGAGGACCTTCTGGGCCCCCACATTAATGAGGTAGGTGAGGCGCGCGGCGCTGGGAGCAGGGAGGGGTGAGGACCGGTGGGACGCGCCGGAACGACGGCCGAAAGCCGCCCCTGACTCTCCTGTCTCCGCTCCCTGCCTTGCTCGCAGGCAGCCACCTGGCGAGTCTGACATGGCTGTCAGCGACGCGCTGCTCCCATCTTTCTCCACGTTCGCGTCTGGCCCGGCGGGAAGGGAGAAGACACTGCGTCAAGCAGGTGCCCCGAATAACGTGAGTATCGCTCCGGGCCGCCGGGAACGCCCGGTGGGTTTTCGTGGGTGTGGTGGGGGCGGGCGGAGCCTTGGGGTCACCAAGAGCCACTGAACGAGGGTAAGGAGCGGCCACCGCGCGGACTCCGCAACCTTCCCGGGATAGCTTCCGTGTCCTTGGCTCAGCTGTGTATGCCCGTGGTGCGAGCACTGCGGAGCCGCCTGGGGCGCAAGCCGGGTCTTCACCAGTCCCCGGGCGCGCTGTCGGTAGGGCGGGCGCTCTCGGGCCACCGGGCGGGAGGTGGCCGCGTCCCCAGACACTGGCTGGGCCAGAGTGAGTTTAGCGCGTAGGCGGCCCCGTGGCGAGAGCGCACCGAGAGAGCCTCGGTGTGCCAATTCCGGGGACGTCCACGGGACCTGGAGGGGGAGGGACCAGCCGCGGCGCTCGCTCACACGCAATTGGGCAGACAGGACATAACACCCGCAATACAGACGCATCACCTCTTCTTCGACCCGGGAGTGGGCCGAGATTGCAGCGCTGGCGCCCTGGGTTCCCGGGTGCTTCCTGCCTGACCAGTCCCCATGTCTGGGCGGTGCAGTCGCGCGTGGCCCGCCAGCACGTCAGTATGTCGGGTGGCAACAGGGGACCACCACTGACAGGTCTCTCCCGCCCTGTCCCCGCAGCGCTGGCGGGAGGAGCTCTCCCACATGAAGCGACTTCCCCCAGTGCTTCCCGGCCGCCCCTATGACCTGGCGGCGGCGACCGTGGCCACAGACCTGGAGAGCGGCGGAGCCGGTGCGGCTTGCGGCGGTAGCAACCTGGCGCCCCTACCTCGGAGAGAGACCGAGGAGTTCAACGATCTCCTGGACCTGGACTTTATTCTCTCCAATTCGCTGACCCATCCTCCGGAGTCAGTGGCCGCCACCGTGTCCTCGTCAGCGTCAGCCTCCTCTTCGTCGTCGCCGTCGAGCAGCGGCCCTGCCAGCGCGCCCTCCACCTGCAGCTTCACCTATCCGATCCGGGCCGGGAACGACCCGGGCGTGGCGCCGGGCGGCACGGGCGGAGGCCTCCTCTATGGCAGGGAGTCCGCTCCCCCTCCGACGGCTCCCTTCAACCTGGCGGACATCAACGACGTGAGCCCCTCGGGCGGCTTCGTGGCCGAGCTCCTGCGGCCAGAATTGGACCCGGTGTACATTCCGCCGCAGCAGCCGCAGCCGCCAGGTGGCGGGCTGATGGGCAAGTTCGTGCTGAAGGCGTCGCTGAGCGCCCCTGGCAGCGAGTACGGCAGCCCGTCGGTCATCAGCGTCAGCAAAGGCAGCCCTGACGGCAGCCACCCGGTGGTGGTGGCGCCCTACAACGGCGGGCCGCCGCGCACGTGCCCCAAGATCAAGCAGGAGGCGGTCTCTTCGTGCACCCACTTGGGCGCTGGACCCCCTCTCAGCAATGGCCACCGGCCGGCTGCACACGACTTCCCCCTGGGGCGGCAGCTCCCCAGCAGGACTACCCCGACCCTGGGTCTTGAGGAAGTGCTGAGCAGCAGGGACTGTCACCCTGCCCTGCCGCTTCCTCCCGGCTTCCATCCCCACCCGGGGCCCAATTACCCATCCTTCCTGCCCGATCAGATGCAGCCGCAAGTCCCGCCGCTCCATTACCAAGGTCAGTCCCGGGGATTTGTAGCTCGGGCTGGGGAGCCCTGTGTGTGCTGGCCCCACTTCGGGACACACGGGATGATGCTCACCCCACCTTCTTCACCCCTAGAGCTCATGCCACCCGGTTCCTGCATGCCAGAGGAGCCCAAGCCAAAGAGGGGAAGACGATCGTGGCCCCGGAAAAGGACCGCCACCCACACTTGTGATTACGCGGGCTGCGGCAAAACCTACACAAAGAGTTCCCATCTCAAGGCACACCTGCGAACCCACACAGGTAGGGGGACAAACTGCAGAAGGGAGGGGGGTTAGCTTCCAGCCCCATAGGCTACCAGTGGACACTCCTCAGTGCCTCCTTGACTTCCCAGGTTAGCTTCCAGCCCCATAGGCTACCAGTGGACACTCCTCAGTGCCTCCTTGGCTTCCCAGGGCAGTCTATCGCCTTGATCTCCGGGATCACTGGAGAGAACAGCAAACCGGCGCCTACTTTTCTGCCCAGGAGCCTTTTGCTTGATGGATGGTATCTGTGTTTGAATGTGCAATTTTGTTAGGCTTTTAAAAGGCAGGAGATTCCCCGCGGTCTGTGGGCCTCTCCTAGCTTGGCATTATAATCAAGAAATTATACTTTGCTATGCAAAAGCATGATGGCTTTTTTAAAAAAATCGTTTTTTAATGTTCCCTTCCCAGGTTCACCCTCCCTTTTTGTTATTTTGAATTCTGGTCGTAACAATTCGGTCTTACTTTTTTATTTTTTATTTTTTGTTCGTTTTGATTTACATTTTTATTTTTTTTCCCCCACAAGCAGAAGGTTTTATTTTAAATTCCAAGAATATGATGGTCAAAATTGCTGGGAAGATTCTGATTTAGGGTTGTCACTGCAGAGCATTTCCATGTCAATGTAAGTAGGTACCCAAAGTCGTTTAGGTGCAGCATTCAGTAACGTAAAGGTAAAGAAAAAAAAAGTAGCCACCTGTGGCTTTTTATCCCCAGTCGTAGTAGGAATAAGATTGCATGGTTTGGGCACACTACCAATCACAATTTCCAAATTTCATTTCCACCACTGAGATGCCTTGACTCAAATGAAACATTAGTATAGGTTTAGGTGGTGTTTGTGTGTTTTTGGTGAAACATTAGTATAGGTGTAGGTGGTGGTTGTGTGCTTAACTGACCCCCTAAAAACAAGACCAAATACTTAAGCACGGAATGTATTTCTGTTTATGATATGGAATTCAATACACCCCTTCAGTGGTATAAAGACATTCCTGGATTTCTTTAGGATAGGGTCAGAGTTGGTTTACTATCTGGCCTTCAGTTTTTAAAAGGGGCGATTCTTTGATATAGCAATAGCGTCAATTTTTTTTTTCTTTTACCTTTACAGGTGAGAAACCTTACCACTGTGACTGGGACGGCTGTGGATGGAAATTCGCCCGCTCAGATGAACTGACCAGGCACTACCGTAAACACACGGGGCACCGCCCGTTCCAGTGCCAAAAATGCGACCGAGCATTTTCCAGGTCGGACCACCTCGCCTTACACATGAAGAGGCATTTTTAAATCCCAGACAGTGGATATGACCCACACTGCCAGAAGAGAATTCAGTATTTTTTACTTTTCACACTGTCTTCCCGATGAGGGAAGGAGCCCAGCCAGAAAGCACTACAATCATGGTCAAGTTCCCAACTGAGTCATCTTGTGAGTGGATAATCAGGAAAAATGAGGAATCCAAAAGACAAAAATCAAAGAACAGATGGGGTCTGTGACTGGATCTTCTATCATTCCAATTCTAAATCCGACTTGAATATTCCTGGACTTACAAAATGCCAAGGGGGTGACTGGAAGTTGTGGATATCAGGGTATAAATTATATCCGTGAGTTGGGGGAGGGAAGACCAGAATTCCCTTGAATTGTGTATTGATGCAATATAAGCATAAAAGATCACCTTGTATTCTCTTTACCTTCTAAAAGCCATTATTATGATGTTAGAAGAAGAGGAAGAAATTCAGGTACAGAAAACATGTTTAAATAGCCTAAATGATGGTGCTTGGTGAGTCTTGGTTCTAAAGGTACCAAACAAGGAAGCCAAAGTTTTCAAACTGCTGCATACTTTGACAAGGAAAATCTATATTTGTCTTCCGATCAACATTTATGACCTAAGTCAGGTAATATACCTGGTTTACTTCTTTAGCATTTTTATGCAGACAGTCTGTTATGCACTGTGGTTTCAGATGTGCAATAATTTGTACAATGGTTTATTCCCAAGTATGCCTTAAGCAGAACAAATGTGTTTTTCTATATAGTTCCTTGCCTTAATAAATATGTAATATAAATTTAAGCAAACGTCTATTTTGTATATTTGTAAACTACAAAGTAAAATGAACATTTTGTGGAGTTTGTATTTTGCATACTCAAGGTGAGAATTAAGTTTTAAATAAACCTATAATATTTTATCTGAATAATGTTTTTTATTGTTTTGTTTTCCTCCTGGAAAAATATGAACAGTGTTTGGTTTAAACACACCGGGTTAATAAGGCATGTAAGAAGCACGCACAAAAAAGCCAACTTTATGTCAACAAATTAAAATACCTTTTTTTATTAAAAAAAAACTATTTAGTTTTACCATAAATACTATCAATATAGGGCTGAGAACTCTTGATTATTGTACGTTTAAAAATTACAAGATTAAAAACCCAGTTCAGGTTTGCTCTTTCCAAATGTACGTAAAGCTACGTGAAAGCAGTTTCCTTACCTATGATTTTCCCAGTAGAAACAGCTTAATCATCCTTAAATTTGCTCAGTTTAGTATGAAAATATTTATGAAATATATACATTTCAGTTTCATATTTGAAAAAAATCTTTATGGTTTGTCTTTTAAAGTAAATAAAAATAAAAAAGTTTTCTGTGGAGGCCTGTCCCAGCACCCCTCACATCTGAGTAACAAAAGAACCTTCCTACAGCAGACAACCCTAAGAACGTAGTTCCACAGTGCCCTCCTGAGGATTAAAGGGTTCATTTATGCTTGGTGTGTGTTAAAGATACATCACTTCTACTAGTTACAGCCTTAAAGAGGTCAGAACCAAAGTTTCTGGCAGATTGTTTTAAAGCTAAATCAGTTCCCCTGACTGAAGGTGGGAAAACAAACTGAAATAAAATAATTTAAAAATTATTCAAATTCATAAAACTAAGTGTAAAGTAAGATGGTGTTATGGTAAGTTTGTAGCGTTTATATTAGAAGTTTTAATATTAAAACTCAAAACTGCCCTGTTAGAATCTGAAGTTCTTGAGATGGGTGCCTGAAAGATTGAAATTCATTTGGGGCTATCGCAAAATGGAAAAAGCATTTGTGACACTTGTTGACACCTTATATACTTGTAATAGTGATGTGGGTGACTAAACATCATCAAGGGGACAGAGCTCACTGCTCACTGGCATTTTTTTTAGAGTGCTTATTAACTATTGATTGTATCTAGTGTCCAGAGGTGCGTTTGTACCATGGGTACATGTAATAAATGAAATAAAAAATGGATGTTTATAAGAGGCTTATGGTAGATCAGCACAAGGTATTTTCTTTGGCTTTTGAGAGTCCACCATGACTGGAAAGCATAGCATGTGTCTCTGCTTAAAAGAAAACAGGTGCATCAATAGGATGGAATTTTATGTGGCCAAGAACATATTCAAAGCATATTTAATGACATGGAAAAATGCTCATAGTAATGTTAAGTGGAAAAAGCAGGATATAAGACTATCAACAGTACCAATTCAACTGTGTACATTTAAGTGTATGTGTGCTTTGAAGGAGAGAGAGAGAAACAAAAGGAAATTAAGAGAAAACCCTAGAAGGAACTGCCAAAATATTCATACTGGTTTTCTCAGTTTTAATTTTCTTTTCTTTTTTTTTGAGATGGATTCTTGCTTGTCACCAAGGCTGGAGTGCAGTGGTGTGATCTCGGCTCACTGCAATCTCCACTTCACAGGTTCAAACGATTCTCCTGCCTCAGCCTCCTGAGTAGCTGGGATTACAGGCGCCCACCACCACACCCGACGAATTTTTGTATATTCAGTAGAGACAGGGTCTCACCATGTTGGCCAGGCTGGTTTCGAACTGCTGACCTCAAGTGATCCGTCCACCTAGGCCTCCCAAAGTGCTGGGATTACAGGCATAAGCCACCGTGCCCAGCCTAAATTTTCTTTTTTGAAGTTTTCAAATATTCTAAAACAGCTATAGTAAGTTTGAAAAACTTTTTCATAAGAATGAAGATATAAAGAACAATTAAAATTATTTAAACAAAAAGCCCTCATTAGAACACATTATTCTGTAAATTATGTTTAGATTTCTTTAAGTTTAAATTTCTTAAATTTCTGTTAAATTGTGGTTGGTTGCTTTTGTAATCCACCTCTGTTATACAGAATCTTTTGGCACACGGTGTATGAAAATGACTGAAAAATGCCATCTTTATATTTGCTAAGTGCATATTATCTCGAATAGAAGAAACATGCATAAACTATCAAGAATTTTAAATTTATTTAAAATTTTCTGATGTCATAGATTAACATTCCTCTACGTTAACTTTTTCTTTATTCTTAATTTTTATTTAATTCTTTTTCTTCAGCTTTTAAGTTCAGGGTACATGTGCAGGATGTGAAGGTTTGTTACATAGGCAAACATGTGCCATGGTGGTTTGTTGCACCTAGATATTAAACCCAGCATCCATTAGCTATTCTAACTGATGCTCCCTCTCCCCAACCCCTATTTTTTTAATTTTTAATTTAATTTTAAAAAATTTTATAGAGGCAGGGTCTCACTATGTCGCCCAGGTTTGGTCTCGAACTCCTGAGCTCAAGCAATCCTCCTGCCTCGGCCTCCCAAAGTGCTGGGATTACAGGCATGAGCCATAGCACCCAGCCTACATTAACTTTTTCTAGCCTGAAAAAGAAAGCTTCAATATCTAAAATGAATGAGGAAGATTTCCCAAAACTGTGACCAAACAAAATACTATTCGACATACGCCAATAGCTAAATTATTTACTCTGGGACCTATCAGCTGTGGGCTCCTAGGTGTGCTGTCATTATGGTGTTACAGAGCCGTTTATACACTATACAATAAAGAGTACCTAATAATTGTGATGCCTGCTTATTATATTTTCCTTATGACACTTAATTTTACTGTTTCTTATTTTAACTTGTGTGCCTACACACACAAAGGATTAACAATGATGTTTCCTACACACATCAACAGACTTTCAGTCCACCTATTTTCCAGCAAAATGTCTCTTCTGATAAAATTCTTTCTGCCTGAAAACGTATTTGACTCTTGCTATCCTGTTTCAGTTTGTAAAACAAAACAGATGCTTTCACTATCTCAAGTAGGATGGTCATGAGGAATATTTCTTTTTCTTCCAAAAATTGTTCCAGGCCGGGTGTGGTGGCTCACACCTGTAATCCCAACACTTTGTGAGGTTGAGGTGGGAGGACTGCTTGAGGCCAAGAGTTTGAGAGCAGCCTGGGAAACATAGCAAGACCTCATCTCTATCAAAAAAAAAAAAATCAATGAAAAAGTGTTACAATTTTTAGAAACATGAAATGCTCTTCACAGTTGGAGATTGATAATTTTTACATATAATTTATTTCCATATAAGGAAGCCCAGGGGAGGTAGTCTTTATGCTACAGAAGCAAGTCCACAGAGAAAATATTAAAACAAGCAGTGGTGGTACCTGTTGTACTTCAACAAATGGGAGTATCTAAATTTAGCAGCCTGTATCAGCCACCTGTCCTATTAAATGTTCTGGCTTCTGAAGCTCCATTCAACACAACATACATACATAGATGGATTTGTAGCCTAGATACTCCCTCACCCACTCTTGTCCATTTATTTCCCTGTCTCTCATACAGACATGAATGCCACCCAGTCCCACATAAACCCTTTTACTTTATGTATTATTCTTATCATTTTATTCATGATTTTATTACATATTGCGTTTTATCTATTTGTTTTACTTCTTTGTATTTTCGTAGCACCTTCTACAGGCTATTGTATAGTGACATGTTTTTATAGTGCTAAACCGAAGCTATGTCTGCCTCCTAAAGGTTGTTTATGAAACTATCATTCATTGTTCACACGCAGAGTCATTCAATAATATTTCATATAAAACCTCCAAGACCAGTCTATATAATGAATGCTGTAAAAAATATCATGGAATGTTCTACCTGTGGGGGGGAGGAAAACCACAAACTACTGTTAAAGTTAGAATACTGCATGAAAATAAAAACTTTTTTTCTACATTAAATGAAACTAAAATGAAAGTTGGAAAGTTTCCCTTTGGAAAACTTTATCTTAAACAGCAAGGTGAATCTTGAGTAAATTTCTCACCATCTCCTGAAAAACTAATAAATTCTTAAATCCATTTGAAGAACCTGGTGCTTTACTCCCCTGGTCACAGTCAAAACAGAGGGAAAGCAACTGCTAAAATGTTAGCATACACAGAAAAATCTTTCAGGCTGGAATCAAGGCTACCACAGCCAGTTAACTTAGCTGGGGAGGAACGGGTGCATGGGGTTGAAATATTAGTCAAACTGCTTCTCTGGAGTCATGTGCATCTGGAGCCCATCTTTTTAATTGTTTTCCACGGTGCCCTTGATATAATATACTTTTTTAAATTGCTTCGGTCTTCTCGACACCCTAGATGAGTCAGCATGTTGCAATCATTCGCCCAAATGTCTTTCTCCACTTGGTCTTTTTTTTTTTTTTTTTTTTTTGAGACGTTGCTCTGTCGCCCAGGCTGCAGTGCTGTGGCGCAATCTCTGCTCACTGCAACCCTCCGCCACCTGGGTTCAAGCCATTCTCCTGCCTCGGCCTCCAGAGTAGCTGGGACTACAGGCAAGCACCAACACGCCAGGCTAATTTTGCATTTTTAGTAGAGACGGGGTTTCGCCATGTTGGCCAGTTCTCGAACTCCTGACCTCAAGTGATCCTCCCGCCTCGGTCCCCCAAAGTGCTGGGATTACAGGTGTGAGCCACCACGCGCGGCCTCCACTTGTTCTTAAAGGAAAGGAGGAAATAAACAAATTCAATTTAATAACAGCAAAAAGTAAATTCACAGTTAGAAATCCCTTTGACATCTCACCTGAGGATACCTAACACAACATTTTTCTTTTTTTTTTTTTTTTTTTTGGTATTATTAGTAGAGATGGGGTTTCACCATGTTGGCCAGGCTGTTCTTGAATTCCTGACCTCAAGTAATCCACCTGCCTCGGCCTCCCAAAGGGTTGAGATTACAGGCGTGAGCCACCGTGCCGGGCCTGCTTTTGTTTTTTGTAAAGACAGGGTCTCCCTATGTTGCCAAGGCTGGTTATGTTTCTTTTCATGTCCATTTTACATGTTATAATAATATAATCTAAGTAGAGCAGGAAACAAGAAAGTTAGGTTTTTAGATAGAGAGAGAGGACCAGAAGGTCAAGTGGGGCTATAATTCCTGTCTCACGTATAATATTTGAATCTGTACTAACTGGCACTGGATCAATATATTACTAAATAGTGTCCAAATCCCCATGATACAAAACCAATGCACTCAGGTGCTATACCTATATATCCATTTAAAAGCTTAAAGAGCAAATAACTTTATGGAGAAATTGGAGAAACCCTGAATACACTTGCTGAGAGACCAGGAGATGGTAATTGGTACAAACTATGAAAGAATAATGTCTTAGACATGACAAATAGAAGAGATTTTATCTGTAAGGACAAGCATGCTTCTTGCCTGCTCCAGGTCACTTTTTGTTGGTGTATAACAATCCCTTCTGCACAGCTCTATGAGGCTTACAAAGTACTTACACCCTACATTACCTCAATCTTACAAAGTAGGGATGGGATTTTCCTCTCCCATCTCCAGTATGCGGATGAAGAAACTCAGGTTCCCTTTACAGGTTAGCATTTTGCTGTCACTTCTCATTCTTGCTGACATACTCAAAGCACTTCTTTTCTAATACCTTTGTTTCAGTCTGCTGGGCAGGTAGGGCTACAGGTATAAAGGATCCACCCCAATTCAAAAGGATTTGCTAACGTCCAGGTTCTTCCAGTAAACCTGTTTAAGAGTCAAAAGCCTCAGACTTTCTGTCTCCCTATCAATGTACTATCTCCTTTGTCAAAGTAGACAGATAGGGAAGGCAGAGTTTCCTGCAGATGTTTCTTCAGCTGGGGCCACTATGCCATGTACACAGTTCATACTTTTTGTTCTGAAGTTCTTGTTTCTGGCCTCACCTCTGGCCCAGCACATAGCTCTCCTGGTCAAATAGATCTGGTCAAGCCCTTCCCCTATTCTGTAACTTCCCATGGTCCCCAGTGCTTAGTGGATATAGATTTAACATGGTCTCTTCCCTATTTGTGGCTTCCAGCTGCTTGTTCAAGATCCTATCTAGGGCCGGGTGTGGTGGCTTATGCCTGTAATCCCAATACTTTGGGAGGCCAAGGAGGGCGGATCACGAGGTCAGGAGTTCGAAACCAGCCTGGCCAACATGGCGAAACCCCGGCTCTACTAAAAATACAAAAACTAGCCAGGCGTGGTGGAAGGAGCCTGTAATTCCAGCTACTCGGGAGTCTGAGGCAGAAGAATCGATTGAACCCAGGAGGTGGAGGTTACAGTGAGCTGAGATTGTGCCATTGCACTCCAGTCCGGGTGACAAGAGCAAGACTCCGTCTCAAAAAAAAAAAAAAATTAGCTGGGCATGGTGGCAGGAGCCTGTTATCCCAGCTACTTGGGAGGCTGAAGTAGGAGTATTGCTTGAACCCGAGGTGGAGGTGGCAGTGGGCTGAGATCATGCCACTGCACTCCAGCCTGGGCGACAAGAGTGAAACTCCGTCTCAACAACAACAATAACAAAAGACCCTATCTAGTTCCTCCTTAGATAAACCTGCCATGCTCAACAACTTCTGGTCCTCCAGTGCACATGGCTGTTTCAGCATTTGAAACTTGCCTGCAGATACTGGTCTCCACTGCTTCTGGAAAGACCCCTACTACCCTGACAAAAGCCTATATGTCTCTTAAAAGCCCAGCTCTTAAGAATACACCTCCATTCTATTTAGATCTTGCATTAAACCCTTATTCGTGTGTATTACAAGGTTATGTGGGGTTTTTCTGTGTATTTTGTTTGTTTGTTTGAGACAAGGTCTTGCTCTGTTGCCCAGGCTGAAGGGCAGTGGTGCAAACATGGCTCACAGCAACCTCAAACTGCTGAGCTCAAATGATCCTCCCATCTCAGCCTCCTGAGGAGCTGGAACCACAGGCATGTGCCACTACTTCTGGTTAATTTCATTATTATTTTTCTGTATAGATGGGGTCTCACTATATTGCCCAGGCTGGTCTCTTAACTCCTGGCCTCAAACGATCCTCCTGCTTTGGCCTCCCAAAGTACTGGGATTACAGGTGTGAGCCACTGCACCCAGTCTATTATAAGGTCTTATGGGTCTGGCTTCCCCTAAAGACATGAGCTTCTGGAGGGCACTAGGAGGTTTCTTGATGTGTCCTTGAATACCCTCAGTTACTAAACTTAATTGAATAAAAGTAATCATTGACTGAATATTTAGCCAAAATCCTGGGTTATCCAAGGAAAGGATAAAATATCTCCTTTCCCCAAATTTTGGCATCCTGGAGGACAGGCCCAGTGGTCTCTCAATTGCTTCCTGTAGGTCGCCTGACATCCATCTGCCTTCCTCAACACACAACAAACCCCTCAAATGAACAAAACTCTTTCCAGAGTCAATCCCACACTTTGGGAGGCCGAAGTGGGTGGATCACTTGAGATCAGGAGTTCTAGACCAGCGTGGCCAACATGGTGAAACCCCATCCCTATTGAAAATACAAAAATTAGCCGGGCATGGTGGCCTGCACCTGTAATCCCAGCTACTTAGGAGGCTGAGACAAGAGAATTGCTTGATCCTGGGAGGCAGAGGTTGCAGTCAGCTGAGATCACGCCACTGCACTCCAGCCTGGGTGACAGAGTGAGACTCTGTCTCAAAATCCTGGCATCTCCTTTTTGTGAACTCTTCCTTGCCATGTAATTCTCTGCATTGACTCTGGAAAGAGTTTTGTTCATTTGAGGGGTTTGTTGTGTGTTGGGGAAGACAGATGGATGTCAGGTGACCTACAGGAAGCAATTAAGAGACCACTGGGCATGTCCTCCAGGATGCCAAAATTTGGGGAAAGGAGATTTTTTTTTTTTTGAGACAGAGTCTTGCTCAGTTGCCCAGGCTGGAGTGCAGTGGTGCCATCTCAGCTCACTGCAAGTTCCACCTCCCCGGTTCACGCCATTCTCCTGCCTCAGCCTCCCAAGTATCTGGGACTACAGGCACCTGCCACCATGCCTGGCTAATTTTTTTTGTATTTTTAGTAGAGACGGGGTTTCACCGTGTTAGCCTGGATGGTCTCGATTTCCTGACCTCGTGATCCACCTGCCTCAGCCTCCCAAAGTGCTGGGATTACAGGCATGAGCCACTGCACCCAGCAGGGAAAGGAGATATTTTATCCTTTTTTTGGATGACCCATTGGGCCTCCTTTCAAGAAAAAAGGTATGTGTACCATGGACATATGACAAATAATGAAGGCTAAAAAAAAAAAGAAAAAAATTGCACTTTAAAAGCTTAGGCCAGGCACGGTGGCTCACGCCTGTAATCCCAGCACTTTGGGAGGCCGAGGCAGGTGAATCACTTGAGGTCAGGAGTTCAAGACCAGGCTGACCAACATGGTGAAACCCCATCTCTACTAAAAATACAAAAATCACCTGGGCGTGGTGGTGGGCACCTGTAATCCCAGCTACTCAGGAGGCTGAGTCAGGAGACTCGCTTGAAACCGGGAGGCGGAGGTTGCAGTGAGCCAAGATCGTGCCACTGCACTGCAGCCTGGGCAACAGAGCGAGACTCCATCTCAAAAAAATAATAATAAAATAAAATAAAAGCTAAAAGAGGGTACTTTCCTGACCTCATGATCCACCCGCCTCGGCCTCCCAAAGTGCTGCGATTATAGGCGTGAGCCACCATACCAGCTAAAAGAGGGTACTTTCTACTCTAGGATATTGAGTGGGCCAGTCTGCCCAAACAGGAAGGTTTAGCTTTGGGTGCTGTGAAACCCTCCCATTTGGTTTGCTCCAATTCAAGCTTGAGACTCTTCTAGTTTGCCTGGATGACAGTAGTTTTCTGACCTCTGAATACATCTAAATAAACTCACTCTGACAGTGCGCGGAATTGACCATTGCCCTGCCTTTGAGGCACTGTTACCGCCTCACCTAGGAATGGGTAACATTGCAAGGACTGAAGCTGTAAAATTACGTAGGTAGCTCACAACTATAATGCCAATACTTTGGGAGGCAGAGGTGGGAGGATCACTTGAAACCAGGAGTTCAAAACCATCCTGGTCAATATAGGGAGACTCTGTCTCTCCAAAAAATAAAAAATAAAATAAAAAAATAACAAAATTAGCCAGGAGTGGTGGCATGTTCCTGTGGTTCTGGCTCCTCAAGAGGCTGAGGTGGGAAGATCCCTTGAGCCCAGGAGGCTGAGGCTGCAGTGAGCTATGATTGTTTTACTGCACTCCAACCTGGGTGACAGAGCAAGACCCTGTCTCAAAAATAAAATAAAATTACGTAAGACGTTTGAAAAGGAAAGCATCTTCAAGACCATTTAACTCAAGGAAAAGACCCAGATAAAGGACTTGTGACCTTGCCCAAGGTCACATCAAGTTGACATCTGAGGAACCAGCACCTAGATCTGATTTACTTAACAGGCCAATCATCCATGGCTTCATCCTAACAGCCCAAGGGAAGCTTAGAGGAATCAAGATGATCAAAAACATCTTGCTGGCTGGGTGTGGTGGCTCATGCCTGTAAGCCCAACACTTTGGGAGGCCAAGGTGGGTGGATCACTTCAGATCAGGAGTTCCAGACCGGCGTGGCCAACATGGCGAAGCCCTATCTCTATTGAAAATACAAAAATTAGCCGGGCATGGTGTCGTGCACCAGTAATCCCAGCTACTTAGGAGGCTGAGGCAAGATAATTGCTTGAACCTGGGAGGCAGAGGTTGCAGTGAGCTGAGATCATGCCACTGCACTCCAGCCTGGGTGACAGAGTGAGACTGTCTCAAAAACAAAACAAAACCAACCAACCAACCAAACAAAAAACACCATGCTCACCTCGGCAGCACATATCCTAAAATTGGAAAAATACAGAGATTAGCATGGCCCCTGCGCAAGGATGACATGCAAATTCGTGAAGTGTTCCATATTTTTCTGTTCTTGCACAGGCTCTTAAGCAACATGGAAATAAGGTTGATGGAAAATAAACATCAGTTTCTAAACAAACAAACAAAGAAACAACAACAAAACAAAAAACACCATGCAGAAAAGATGGCTTTCAGAGGAAAGTTCTGTTTTTTTGTTTTTTTTCCTTTTTTTGAGATGGGGGATGAGGTCTCACCCTGTCACCCAGGCTGAGTGGTGCAATCACAGCACACTGCAGCCTCAACCGCCTGGGCTCAAGAGATTCTCCCTCTCAGCCCCCCAAGTAGCTGAGACCACAGACATGCACCACCATACCTGGCTAATTTTTTTAAAAAATTATTTTGTAGAGACAAGGGTATCCCTATGTTGCCCAGGCTGGTCTCTAACTCCTGGGCTTAAGGGCCTCGACCTCTCAAAGTGCTAGGATTACAGGCATGAGCCACAGTGCCTGGCCCTGGAAAGTTCTAAATTCAATGTAATGTTGTGCTCTAACATCCAAAAAAGTATTTTACTGTGCTTTATCATCCTTCTGTATAGTGCTCTGTTACCGGCCAGCTAGGACAGGACTACTCACTGGTCACTGTGTTCCCTCTAGAGAGAACATAGGAACCATTCCCTCAAAATGTGATAGTATCATTCTGGCTTTGTTCCACTTTCTCTTTCCATGCAATTGATTCAAACACATGTAATCAATTCAAGGATCTACTTTACTAGCCACTGTGCAAAGGGCAGGAGAAGCAAAGATGAGTAAGAATCTGTAAATATGGCCAGTCGCAGTGGCTCACACCTGTAATCCCAGCGCTTTGGGAGGCCGAGGCGGGTGGATCACCTGAGGTCAGAGGTTCGAGACCAGCCTGGTCAACATGATGAGACCCTATCTGTACTTAAAATACAAAAATGAGCTGAGTGTGGTGGTGGGCACCTGTAATCGCAGCTACTTGGGAGGCCGAGGCAGGAGAATCACTTGAACCCAGAAAGTAGAGGTTGCAGTGAGCTGAGATCATGCCACTGCACTCCAGCCTGGGTGACAGAGTGAGACTCAGTCTCAAAAAAAAAAAAAAAAAAGAATACGCAGGTTTACAGATACTGTTTCCTCCTGCAACTGCTCTGCAAAGGGCATAAAGTGTAAGTTAAATGAAAATCAGCTTTCTAGCCCCAGTAAAAAAATTGTTACCTTTCTTAAAAAAGTGATACATGATTCTTTGCAAGACTCAACCATGTTAACTACAACCACATATACCATTCTCCCCCCTACAATTTTCTTGATTGCTTCTTCTTCTTCTTCTTATTTTGAGACTTTGTCTTGCTCTGTTGCCCAAGCTGGATTGTAGTGGCGCAATCGCAGCTCACTCCTACCTCTGCCTCCTGGGTTCAAGCAATTCTCTGCCTCCACCTCCCGAGTAGCTGGGATTAGAGGTGCCCACCACGGCCAGCTAATTTTTTTGTATTTTTCGTAGAGACAGGGTTTCACCATCTTGGCCAGGCTGATCTTGAACTCCTGACCTCATGATCCACCCACCTTGGCCTCCCATAATGCTGGGATTACAGGTGTGAGCCACCGTGCCCGGCCGATTGCTTATTATTTTTTAGATACATTTAACTTGTTTATCGGGTGCATGTTAAGGCATATTAAGATGTGTTTTTCAGATTCAGCATGAAGGTTTTGGCCCTATTCAAAAATATCACAAAATTCTGTTGGAATTAATAATTTGGTCAGAATGGGTCTTAATTTTCAAACCAAGACACCTTGGGTTGCTATGGATTGGAAACTGCATATCTAGACCACGAGAACACGTGATTTTGTTTTAAGCACAATTAACTTTACAGCGAGAGAGCATAACTGACATCACATATAGCTCTCGCTGTGCCAAAGCCCACAGAAAGAGAAGAGGCTTTGCCTAGGGGATTCTTTGCATTAACGACTTTGTTAGACAAAGCCACTCTGGCATGGGAATTGGATTTGCAATTTGGGTCTTTGTAAAAGGATTAGATGATCTCTATTGTTTAATGTTTGGATCTCAATTTGCATTTGGAAACACATGACCCCATTGGAGGTTTAGTTCTCTTTTATTTTCATGTTCTTGTTCTGATACACAAATGATACTATTTGTTAAAAAGTTGATAAAACTGCTTGGTCGAATGGTTGTACTGATTAGGAAGTGTGATACGTTGATCTTCTCTGTGAATGGTGGAGTCTACCTGGGCTCCAGCAAAACCGAGCCAGTAATCTATTTGCCAACTGACAAACAACTCATAGGGTAGAGGTCTGCACGTTTCATTGATTTCCTTAATTAGAATGCATGGCTCTTTGTTAGAGAAAGAAAGCACACAGAGATATGGTCAGACAGTGGATCTGCAGAAGGAATGAAAGAGAAAAGCCTCTGACTGCCTGGGGACATATTTGAACACTCCTGTTCAATGTCTTTGTTTATAAATAAAGGTTTGAGAAAATGTATTTTAGGTTTCAGATAACAATACTCTCAGCTGTACACGATGTTTAACTACTTGTCCTTTGGTAAACTTTTTTTTTTTTTTTATATGGAGTAGGAGTCTTGCTCTGTTGCCCAGGCTGGAGTGCAGTGGCGTGATTTTGACTCACTGCAACCTCCGCCTCCCGGGTTCAAGTGATTCTCCTGCCTCAGCCTCCCGAGTAGCTGGAATTACAGGTGCCCACCACCATGCCTGGCTAATTTTTGTATTTTTAGTAGAGATGAGATTTTGCTATGTTGGTCAGCCTGTTCTCGAACCCCTGACCTCAGATAATCCGCCAGCCTCGGCCTCCCAAAGTGCTGGGATTACAAGGGTGAGCCACCACACCCAGCCCTGATAAACATTTTTTTTTTTTTTGAGGCAGAGTTTTGCTTTTGTTGCCCAGGCTGGAGTGCAATGGTGCAATCTCGGCTTACCACAACCTCTGCCTCCCGGGTTCAAGCGATTCTCCTGCCTCAGCCTCCCAAGTAGCTGGGAATACAGGCATCTGCCACCACACCCAGCTAATTTTGTATTTCTAGTAGAGACAGGGTTTCTCCATGTTGGTGAGGCTCATCTCGAACTCCTGACCTCAGGTGATCCACCCGCCTCAGCCTCCCAAAGTGGTGGGATTACAGGCGTGAGCCACCAAGTCCAGCGTGGTAAACATTTTTAATTAACATTTGCTTTGAGAACCTTCTCAGATTGGCCACATAAAGCCTGGAATAGAAACTGCGTGAGGAGGGACAATTTTTCAGAGTGTGGGTTTAGGTCACGTGGTTTATTTGTTTGTTTTCTTTTTAACGCTTCAGATTCTTGCTCCTTTATCTTTGTCATTGACCACAGGAAAACATTTTTTGCATGTCAGGATGAATGTACTGGGAAACATAAACTTGGAGTTGCTGGTTGATTGAGCTAGAGGTAGAATAGAAAAAGGCATTCACATTCATTGAACACATATGGTATGCCAAGAACTCTGCTAGATGTTTAGGAATTTGTTATTATATAACACCGAGGCTCAGAGGAGTCAAGTGACATGTCCAAGGTCACAGAGCTGTCATTGGAACCCAGATGTGCCGGATTGCAAGCCCAGGCTCCTACTGCCATATCACACCATTTCTCAGATAAAGTAAAGCTAACTTCTGCTTTATCTGCTCCTTACCTCCTTGGGATGTGTGTTTGATTTTTTCTTCTAAACAAGGGTTGTATTTGGTGCACGTGAAGCTATATGGGCAAGATTGGCCTAACCCATCCCTTTTCTAATACAGGCAAGTAATCTTTTTTTTTTTTTTTTTTTTTTTTTTTTTTTTTTTTTGAGATGGAGTCTTGCTCTGTCGCCCCGGCTGGAGTACAGTGGCGGGATCTCGGCTCACTGCAAGCTCCGCCTCCCGGGTTCACGCCATTCTCCTGCCTCAGTCTCCTGAGTAGCTGGGACTACAGGCGCCCGCCACAGCACCTGGCTAATTTTTTTGTATTTTTAGTAGAGACAGGGTTTCACTGTGTTAGCCAGGATGGTCTCGATCTCCTGACCTCGTGATCCGCCCGCCTCGGCCTCCCAAAGTGCTGGGATTACAGGCGTGAGCCACCGTGCCCGGCTAATTTTTTCATATTTTTAGTAGAGAAGGGGTTTCACCGTGTTAGCCAGGATGGTCTCAATCTCCTGACCTCATGATCCGCCTGCCTTGGCCTCCCAAAGTGCTGGGATTACAGGCGTGAGCCACCGCGCCCGGCAAGGCAAGGAATCCTATCTGTGGCTCGATTAAAAATACACCACATTCTTCTAGGATCCAGTTTGGATAGTGACTTAAGAAAAGGCAATAGTTTTCTGCATGATAGCATCCCCACAACCGCTATAAAATCACCAAGAGTAAATAGGTCATTGCCTTTCTTCCCGGGTATTTCACTCACGGATTTCAAAGCATTTTACGCATGTATTCAATCTATTGAAACAAAAACTAGCAGCCCTTTTTATAGTTGGGCCAATTGGAAGTACTCCGAAGAAAGAATCTTTTCTGAAGTTCACACACTCTGAGGCCTCCTTAAATGGAGAACACGGGAGAGGAAGTTCACCCCAGGAGCGGCACATTCGAGTATTGTGCTTAGAGCCCACATTCTCAGCCATGGCCCATGGGAAACACTCCTGCTTCTTTGCCCATCTTCCAAAATGCTTTGCCAACATTCTCCTAATGCTACCAATATTTAAAGATAATTTCTTTCCCCTAAACAGGATCTCAGCCTAAAATAGATCTGGGTCTATGTCACTGGGCATGAACAAATGACTCAGAGAGCCATTTCAGATCTCAGAAGCAAGGAAGGCTCTTTGGAGCACCAGAGCATAGTCTGGGAACAAATGAGTGACAGAGCTGAAAGGTGTTCCGAAGATCATTTTATTTCTTTTTTCTCTTTTTGAGATGGAGTCTCACTGTGTCGCTCAGGCTGGAGTACAGTGACACAATCTTGGCTCACTGCAAACTCTGCCCCCTAGGTTCAAGTGATTCTCCTGCCTTAGCCTCCCAAGTATCTGAGATTACAGTGCCCGCCACCATGCCTGGCTAATTTTTGTATTTTTAGTAGAGCTGGGGTTTCACCATGTTGGCCAGGCTGGTCTCGAACTCCTGTCTGCAAGTGATCTACTTGCCTTGGCCTCTCAAAGTGCTGGGATTACAGGCATGAGCCACTGTGCCCAACCCCAAAGAATATTTTATTTCAAGGCTGCTTTGCACAAATGAGGAAGATGAGACCTCACATTCCCAACAGCTAGGCCACTGCAGAACTTCATTCCAACCTAACACTTCCTGACCCTCATCCTCCGCCTGCACATGAGGTCATAGAAGCAAGACCTAGGGGGTCTCCTAACCAAGACGCAAGTGGTAGGTAAGCAGGCAGGTTGTTATGAGTGGGTATGTTTAGCATCAGGGATAGCAGAAGAAAAATGAGTCTCTCCTAGAAAATGTGTTGATTTGGACTATTTTCTACATGTGTTGGGTTTTGTTTATTTTGTTTAGTTGTTGTTTCACTTTTCTCCTTTAGCTCATTCACGTCATCTGCTAGGTTTATATATATCCCATTCTCTCTGCCCAACAGTAGGGCATTGGTTATATAAGTTCTGACATCCCTAGAATGGACTCCTATGTGCCATTAAAATTATCTAGTAAACAATAATAAGGGCCCGGAGCGGTGGCTCATGCCTGTAATCCCAGCACTTTGGGAGGCCAAGTGGGGCAGATCACCTGAGGTCAGGAGTTCGAGACCAGCCTGGGCAACATGGTGAAACCCCGTCTCTACTTAAAATACAAAAATTAGCTGGGGGCAGTGGCAGGGTGCCTGTAATCCCAGCTACTCGGGAGGCTGAGGCACGAGAATCGCTTGAACCTGGGAGGTGGAGGTTGCAGTGAGCCAAGATCATGCCATTGCACTCCAGCCTGGGCGACAAAAGCGAGACTCTGTCTCCAAAAACAAACAAACAATAATAAATAAGGGCCAACATTTAGGAAGGTTTACTCCATGCTGTCTCTGTACTCAGCATTTCACAGGCATTTTTTTTCATTCAGTCCCGACAATAATCCTATAAGGTAGTCATGACTGTTCTCATTTTAGGGACGAGGCATCTGAGGCAAAAAGAACTTAGGTAACCTGCCTTGAGTCACAAAACAAGCAGGTGATGGAGCTGGAATTTAAACCTGATTCTACTCAGACCCATATTCTTGAGCCACCTGCTCATTATATGCAGAAGAATGTTCAGAAGTTAACGGGGAGGGGGCAGGGTGAAGGGGAGGAGCTTAGTACTATCCAACTTGGTAAAATACATTTATGTTTACGTGTTGGGGGGTATATATGCACTCAGAAAATTCTAGAAGGGCCACTTAAATGCCAATTCCTTGAAGCAGCCTTTTCTGACTATACTAAAAGAGCCCTCCCACCTTGCTCATGTTGTTATCTCTTTAACCTGCTTGATGTTGTCTCATGACACTTACGATTACCTGAACTGTAACATATACTGGATCTATTTATTCTCTAGCTTCCCTCTAGAATGAGGAGGAGGACAATGCCTAGGAAACTACCTGGCACATAGTAGGTGTTCAATAAACATTGTTGATTTGAAAGACTGAACCAAACCCTTGATGTTGGTTGCTGTTGTCCTCCTCCACCCCGCAACCACTGCCAAATGGGAACAACTTAGATTATTATCATTATTATTATTTTTATAAGGCAGCTTCCTGAGCCAGAGTAGGCTCAGACAGACTCCCAATTTAGATTCCTGATCTTAAATGGATTGAAAGTTTTTCTTCATGTTTCGTTAAAAATATTCCAAGTGGAAAAAAAAAAAGAAAAAAGACTGGGTGCAGTGGCTCATGCCTGTAATCCCAGCACTTTGGGAGGCTGAGGCAGGCAGATTATCTGAAGTCAGGAGTGTGAGACCAGCCTGGCCAACATGGTGAAACCCCATCTCTACTAAAAATACAAAAATTAGCTGGGCGTGGTGGCAGGCACCTGCAATCCCAGCTACTCAGGAGGCTGAGTCAGGAGAATCTCTTCAACCTGGCATCGGAGTGGTGGGGTCAGGGTAGGGGTGTCGGGGGTGGGGGCATTGAAATGAGCTGAAATCACACCACTGCACTCCAACCTGGGTGACAGAGAGACTCTGTCTTAAAAAAAAAAAAAAAGCCAAGCATGATGGCTCACTCCTGTGATCCCAGGGAGGCCAAGGCAGGAGGATCACTTAAGGCTAGGAGTTCAAGGCCATCCTGGGCAAATTTGTGAGACCCTGTCTCTACAACAACAAAAATCAAGAACTTAAAATGGTCCACTTTAAAGTGCAAAAAGGTAATCTCCCCCTTCCTGGACAGAGGCTTCTCTAGAGCAGAAAGTTCTTTTGATTGCAAAAGAGAAGACCATTGGAAATCTGCTTAGATAAACTTGCTTTGAGTCAAAAGTGAATCATTAATGTTTCAACTGCTAATCCACTTAGCGTCCTATTCACCCAGATGGCTGTTTTGAGCACTCACATCATGCTTTTTTAGAAAGATAAAAGTTTCCAGTCACCAGAGATTCAATTGAGCAAGGGTAAAAGACAATTGATGGTAGATGAAGAGATTGAAGTTTCTGAGATGAGTGAACAAACACTTATCTGGTCAATGTGAAAATGAATGAAACATTTGAAATGAACTGATATGAGTTGGTTGGGTTTTATCCCTATAATAAACTCTTTCCTTTGCCCTCCAAAAAGGATTAGGTCTTCTGCGAATGAGAGTTATAACCAACTCATCTCTGTCCTCAAGCCATATGGCCTTGACCTTTCTTAGTGACGGCCTAGTCACTTTAAACCATGGGTGGCTGTTGGAGATTTTTCTTGTTTGCAGCCAAGTCCTTCTGAAGGGTGACTTTGGCCCCATCAGCAGCTTCAGGAGCCATCTAAAAGCCAGGAGCAATGCATCCCTGCATTCCCTGAAGCCAAGGGGCTGCTCTGGCTGGCTTCCTTCCCTCTTCCCCGAACAGAACCAAGCTCCTATAGAAAATTCATAAATTCTTGGCAGGAAAGAAATCCTCCCATTGGAAGGAACAGATGTTGTACGAGTAACTTTTGCCATTATGCTATTCCTAATATCATAGTTTTAAAGTGTGGGGGGATGTTAACTTTTTTACAAATGTCAACATGTTCTGGGCAGTTTTTCCATCTCCATCTGTGGCATGCACATCACCAATCCTTCTGCTGCCCCTTTTTAAAATTTTCCAGGGAGTAGTTGGAAATTGGAAATATATTAAAAAGTGAAGGCGGAAAATTCAATTCAACAATATGCTAATGTATATCCTAATGGAGAAAGTAATATGCTGTTTCCCTCCCGTTGTAAATGTCAGAAATATTCTTTCTCGTCGCCTTAGAACTTGGAATGGTGTACAGACTTCTAACAAAGTAATTATGACCAATTAACAATCAGAGACTATTGCTGTTACCAGAATTCCCAGAGTGAGTAAAACCCCCCTTCTAAAGAAAGCCTCCATCCTGCTTCACATTCAAGGGGCTTCTAGGCCATTTGCACTTCGTTTACACCTCATTAAACTGCCCACATTATATGCCTGGGTCCCAGGTGACTGTGGGAAAAGATCAAGGTCAGTGGATGCCGCATCTACCCTCCGAGTAACCTTAAAAAGGGTGACTGCACCTCTACTGGTGCTAGCTGGGGTCCCCTCCCTGGGGACAGCGATGCCCGCTTGCGGCGGCTTCTGCGAGGGCCAGAGCGCCCGCTGGCTGTGGCCGGGCCCAGAACACGCCTGATCGCTTTTGGGTTCAAAGTCAGAATCGGGTGAGCGGTCTGGGTGGGATGGGGTGGAGTGGGGTGTGGAATCGCTGCGCAGAAGCAGAGGAAGGTGACAGCGGGGGCGGGGCGAGGAAGCAGCGGAGCCAGATTTAAGTGCGCCGCCGGATCGTCCCGCAGTTTCCGTTCTCAGGCCAGGTTTCCCCCCTTCCGCCAGGTCGTAGCCAAACCAGTCCCCAGATCCGTGTGGGGCCTAGTGTCGGAACCCGCACCCCAGAATAGCTCGTTCTTGAAGCTCCGTGCTCAAGTGGAGGTGCAAATGGGAGCGCTCGCGGGGTGGGGCGCGGCTCGGGGGGCACCCATATCCAGAGCCGATCCCATCCCGCGCCCTTACCCAGTCCCAGTGGGCCCCTGTGCGGCTTCCCCCGCATCCTCTCTGGGAGGCCAGTCCGCTCTCCCAGGCGCGGCTAGGGGCGCGAGGGACTCAGGAGAGCGTGGCCACCCCTCTGCGCCCGGAGCTAGAGGCGGGCGCAGCGCCCGCGCGGTCTGCAGTGCCCCCCACCGGACGGCCCGGCACAGGACGGCTCCGGACCTGGCTACCCGCTCCGCGCCGCCTTTGCTGGAGGGAGCCGGCGCCCCTCCTCTTCCTCCCTGTTGAAGCTACCAAAGTTGTGAAATTTACAATCAAGTCAAGGAGAATACGCTGGCGCTGTCACTGCCTGGCTTCCAGCTCCCGGGGACTGTGGACTTCTAGGCTTCCCTTTGGCTAACGTGAAAATAGACGGGACAAGGTCATGTAACCATTAAGTGGGAATGTGCAATAACGTGTCTGCTACATGACAAATACTCGCTAAAAGACGGACATCGTTATGATTACTCGCTGGCTAGGCTTTGGCTTCTCTGGAGTCTGCTCCTCTGTGGCAGATAGGGATGGTTTCTACCTTTCCTTTGAGGTAGAAAAGGAACCTGAGCACCCAGCTGGGGTCCAGTCTTGCAGTGCCACTAACTCCATCTATGGCTGTGGCCTCAGCTGTCTCCTTTTTGAACCTAAATATTCTCATTGCAAAATGGGAGTAATCATACTCCACCCACAGAGTTGCTACAAGATGAGAAATGAAGGACTCCTTATTCGGGGCAAACTCACTCCCACTGTCAGCTGGCGGGTCCCAGACCACCTGTATCTGTAGCACGTAGCAGGTGCAGTGCATAACATTTGACCCTACTCACAGGCGGCGCTCTTTTCTTTTTAATTTATTTTTGTAGAGAGAGGGTCTCCCTTTATTGCCCAGGTTGGTCTCAAATTCCTGGCCTCAACCAAGCCTCCCACTTCAGTTTCTGAAAGTGCTAGAATTACAGGAGTGAGCCACGACGCTCAGGGTCCTTTTTCCTGAAACACATAGTAGGTACTCAATGCAAGTCTCACCCACCCACAGCAGCTAGCCCATCTAGGGTGCCTTTTGCAGCCCTGTCTGTGACCAGGAAGCCTGGGCTGTGGGAGGTTTTAACTGTTGGGATTCTTCTTCCTTCTCTCCCCTTGACACCCCTTCCACAAATGCCTGGGATCCTTTCTGGAAATTGGTGATGTTAGAAATAATAACACACAGTCCTGAGACATAGTGCAATGGAATGCACAGTCAGAGGACCTGACTGTCAAGGGCAGCCCTGCTAGTTAGTTCCTGGCTATCTTTCTCCTGCAACCTCTCTGAACTCCAGTAACCTTATCTTTCTTTCTTTTCTTTTCTTTCTTTTCTTTTTTTTTTTTTTTTTTTTTTTGATACAGAGTCTCACTCTGTCACCCAGGCTGGAGGGCAGTGGCATGATCCTGGCTCACTGCAACCTCCGCCTCCTAGGTTCAAGTGACTCTCCTGCCTCAGCCTTCTGATAGCTGGGACTACAGGCACCCACCACCATGCCTGGCTAATTTTTGTATTTTTAGTTGAGACGAGGTTTCGCCGTGTTGGCCAGGCTGGTCTCAAACTCCTGACCTCAGGTGATCCGCCTGCTTCAGCCTGCCAAAGTGCTGGGATTACAGGCGTGAGCCACTGCGCCCAGCCCAGTAAACTTATCTTTCTTTTTCTTTTCTTTTTTTTTTTTTTTTTTTGGAGACAGAGTCTCACTCTGTCGCTCAGGCTGGAGTGCAGTGGTGTGATCTTGGCTCACTGCAACCTCCCACTCCCGGGTTCAAGCGACTCTTGTGCCTCAGCCTCCTGAGTACCTAGGATTACAGGCGCCCACCACTATGCTCAGCTAATGTTTTTGAATTTCTGGTAGAGACGGGGTTTCACCATGTTGGCCAGGCTGGTCTTGAACTCCTGACCTCAGGTGATCCGCCTGCCTTGGCCTCCCCAAAGTGCTGGGATTACAGGCGTGAGCCACTGCTCCCGGCCGTAATACAATATTTTATGCCAGCAATCCAAATTTTGGGACTGTGTGATAAGGCACCAGCAACTTTGAGGTCCCATACTGGTAACTTCTCAAGATCTCTAATATGATGAACTTTAAGTGAGAAAAAAAAAATACAGAAAACCAGTGTTCAATATTTACATGGCCTCACCAGTCACAGTGCACTTCTGTGTACATTATATCCATTTAATTGTCAGCCCATTTTCCAGATGAACCTCAAAGAGGTAGAGCGACTTTGGACACAGTGCTCATCTCTACAACACAGAGTCTTCTCTCAATTCAGCCTTATCTCTATGCTGTTAGACAAAGATGCTGGGTTGGGTGCAGTGGCTCATGCCTGTAATCCCAGCATTTTGAGAGGCTGAAGCAAAAGAATCACTTGAGCCCAGGAGTTCATGACCAGTCTGGGCAACATAGCAAGACCCCATCTCTATTTATTTATTTTTTAATTTTAATTTTTTTTTTTTTTTTTTGAGACAGAGTCTCACTCTCTCGCCCAGGCTGGAGTGCAGTGGCATGATCTCGGCTCACTGCCACCTCCACTTCCCGGGTTCAAGCGATTCTCCTGCCTCTGCCTCCTGAGTAGCTGGGACTACAGGCACATGATGCCACCACACCCAGCTAATTTTTGCATTTTTAGTAGAGACAGGGTTTCACCACGTTGGCCAGGATGGTCTTGATCTCCTAAACTCGTGATCTACCCACCTCGGCCTCCCAAAGTGCTGGGATTATAGGCAAGAGCCACCAAGCTCAGCCTATTTATTTAAAAATAAAATTAAAAAAAGATGCTGCTTTCCTAGGTATGACAAAGTGGGACTTTTCACCGGCCATCTGAGCAAGCGTTCTTTGAGACTCTTTGGAAATGATAGGACACAAACTTTATTAATACAGAACATTGAACAAATTAGAGAGTGTTTACATATTATGACAAGGCATGCAGCA